>NC_000016.10:64259469-64562500 GCF_000001405.40 Homo sapiens | reverse complement strand
CTCCTGAGTCTGTTTCTTCTGACATTTAATGTTTCCTGCAGATCTCCAGGTATCTCTCCCTGTCATAGTCCATTACATTACTAGCTGCTGAGAGATGAAAGCTGCTGTTAACGCACCTGATGCCCTTTCTCTCCAAAAGCTGCATTGATTTTAGATCCATATTGCCATTTCTTTTTCATATATTTCATGGGAACAGGGTTCACCCATTCATTTATCACAGGTGCTACTTTTGGAGTATTTGAAGTTTGCCCTTTGCTCCTCAGGGACCTGTGCAAGCCAGTGCTATGCACGTTATAGGTATGTGATAAATATCAGATATTTACAAATAAGTCTAAGAACTTCTATCACTGTTTAGGAAGGGAACAACTGGTTATACTTGTTGAGTTTCTCAAATACACCCACCTATACGTGTCTTGCATTTACTCCCCTGTCTACAAAGATGAGCTTTCTTTCTCCTTTTGAGTTAACTTGGCTTAGCTAAAATTTGACACTCAGTTCAGAACATTCCCTGTTCCATTGAATCAGACTAAGTCCACATGTATATCTCTGTTACAAGTCAGTCTGTGACGGTTCATTCACTCATGTGTTTATGGTGTCTCCAATTAACCTCTTCGCTTTTCAAAATCAATGGCTATAGGTTCTTCCTATCTAGTATCTTTTATTATAGCTGGAATGAAGAGATGACTCAATATTATTTCTGTTGAGTGAATAAACAGTATTCTAAACATTTCACTAAATTCAAAAGAAGCATAGCAATTCAATCACCTGAAGTCCAATAGTTTGAATAGGACAATGATTCCAGACATCCATTTCATGATATTCAGCCTCTATGTTATGCCAAAGGACCAAATTTTGCTCATTCATTGAAGTTTGGCACATTAAATAATAATTCTTTTAACACTGCTGCCAAGTTCCAAACTGAGAAAAAGAAGGTCAAGAATTCTTTTCCTCTTCTTCTCCTCTCTTCATTGTTCTCCTTCTTCTTCTCCCTCTCCTCCTCCTCCTCCTTCTTCCTCCTCCTCCTCTTTCTCCTCCTCTTCTTATTCTCTTTCTTCCCCCTTTCCCTTCCCTTCCTTCTCCTCCTCCTTCTTTCTTCTTCTCCTTCTCCTTCTCCTTCTCCTTCTCCTTCTCCTTCTTCTTCTTCTTCTTCTTCTTCTTCTTCTTCTTCTTCTTCTTCTTCTTCTTCTTCCTCTTCTTCTTTTTCTTCTCCTCCTCCTTCCTCTTCCTCTTCCTCTTCTTCTTCTTCTTCACCATGAAGCGGTGCATTTGCAGAAATTCAACATTTAATGTTCGGAGAGCCATTCTGAGCTTGCTGTTTCCTAGAGATTGCCATTTAAACTGAAACTCTTGATTTTCTCATCCCAAAAGTGGAAGTAATAATGAATACTTTTTATATCTTAAAGGGTTTTTATAAAGATCAAAATATATTAGTTATTATTCATATTTGTGCTCCCTGGGAGATATTCAAAGTAATGTAACCTCTGCTGATACTGTGTAGAAGCACTGTAATCTATTTACATATCTATCTATCTATCTTAAAGTTTCCAAATTACTTCAATTTATTTCCAGTTATTAGGAACCTAAACCCATGCTACTGTACTTTTATTTATAATTTTCCCTGGGTGCCTGTTTTTATTTCACCAAATGAGCCACAGGGGTGAAATGTAAGAGTTACTTCAACTTGAAGTAAACTTAATAGAGTTTCTCATCTAAATACAACAGAGAGCATTTTAACAGTACTGGGTAACAGTGTTTTAAAATTATGATTTTCAAATACAGCTGTTTCTCCAAATTATCACCACAGCTTACATGAAAAAATAAAAACATCTTGCCCTTACTGTAGACCCACTGGGAATCCACGTGAAATATCTCCCCTGCTGATTCTGATGATTGGTGCTCATTTTTCTTAGCAAATCTTGTGCCCTAGCAACTGTGTTTTGTTCCAGGATTTTTCACCTTAGCTACAGCGATTGAACCCAGGAAGACCCCTCATTCAATGGAGTCAAAGGATTATCAGTGATTTGTCTGTTTAATACATGGGCCGGTCCTGTTTGCTAGTAGCAGGAATCTGGTTAAACATCCTAATTCTATCACCCACTTGATGTTTTAACTTAGCTGAGTCACTTAATCACTTTAAGCATCAGTTTAGGATTAGAAAGGACAAATAGAATTGAAAATGTATGGCTGGATGCAGTGGCTCATGCCTGTAATCCCAGCACTTTGGGGGGCTGAAGCAGGTAAATCACCTGAGATCAGGAGTTCGAGAGGAGCCTGGCCAACATGGTGAAACCCTGTTTCTACTAAAAATATAAAATTAGCCAGATGTGGTGGTGGGTGCCTGTAGTCCCAGCTATTTAAGATGCTGAGGCAGGAGAATCACTTAAGCCTGGGAGGTGGAGCTTGCAGTGAGCCAAGATGGTGCCACTGCACTCCAGCCTGGGCAACAGAGTGAGACTCCGTGAAAAAAAAAAAAAAAAGAAGAAGAAGAAGAAGAAGAAGAAAGAAAGAAAAAGTATGACTTATCCTTTTGTAAAGCAATAATAGAAATCAACTCACTGGCTTTTAAAAATTTATTTTATACACCACGTAAGGGGCAAAGGACAGAGAACCAGACTCTAAGATAAGTGACTGTAACAAAGTAAGTTCTCAATTAATATTTGTTTAATGATTAAATGAATGGATGTATAAATTAATGAATTTTAAGGTGAATGTGATTCCAGATGTCAAAGAACGCACGTGCTAATGAGGACATGGTCAGGGTCACCATGACCAATTGTGCCAATTAGAAAAAGGCGCTCCTCTTGGTTCCAATTAATCATAAAATGCAATCTCTTTGGGCAAATACATTGCAAAACATGTGCCATTTTATTGTACTAATTAGGTTCAGCTCATGCCAAAGAGCATTGTCCAATCACCAGGGCTACATTTGAGCATCCCTGACTTGTCATAAGATTCCATAAAGGGCACAACCTTCATAGCTGTATGTTGTAGCCCTGTGTGTATTTATGAAAACAACTGATGTTAATATTTTGTAATGAGCTCAGACAATAGAGTGTGTCCCAAGGGGCAGGAGGAGTGCAGATAAAGGATTCTCTCTCTAGGGCAAGGAGTCAGTGAAGGTTGGAAGGCATATCTGACATCTGAAAGTCACCGTGGAGGATGAGGAGAGGTTAGGCAGTCCTGGGACACAGGAAAGCACACTCCAGGCAAAAGGACTCAGCATGTGCTTACACACAGAAGGTGTTCAGGGAATCTTGCCAAAAGAGTGCATGAGCAGGCATGGATTTAATAAATTTTAAGTGGATATTATAGGAAATGAAGGAAAGCACATGACCTAGAGTTAGATAACATAATAATCCCAACATATAATTAACTCCTATTGAATATTTATAGGTGCCAGGAACTATTCTAAACCCTTTATATACTTTGGCTGAGCCACTCCTCTCAACAACTCCATGAGAACTGGGATGAAAAGTACCCATAATCTAGGTATTTTCAGTTTCTGCATGTAATTGGTTGTAATTTTGTTTTCATAAATGCCTGAAGGAATGTGAGTAACTAGCATGCTAGACAAAGTTTCCTTCTTCCTTTAATCTTTGTTTTTCCACCACTGACTGAAACTGATTTTCTGCATCCCTTGCAGATTATGTGAAATAATAATAAAAACTGAAGCCAGCTCACAGAAGCTATAGGTACCAAGTATGTTTATAATATAGATTCATCCATCCAGCCGTATTTAATATTGACGTGCAACTACAACATGCCTGGTTTGAGTCTATGCCTTAGGGATATACAGGTAATTAATTTAGGGTCCCAGCTCTGTAAACTTTTTGAGATGGAGTTTCACTCTTGTCACCCAGGCTGGAGTGCAATGGCACGATCTCGGCTCACTGCAATCTCAACCTCCCGGATTCCAGCTATCCTCCTACCTCAGCCTCCCGAGTAGCTGGGATTATAGGCACCTGCCACCACACCTGGCTAATTTTTGTATTTTTAGTAGAGACGAGGTTTCACCATTTTGGCCAGGCTGGTCTCGAACTCCTGACCCCAGGTGATCCTTCTGCCTCTGCCTCTCAAAGTGCTGTGATTACAGGCGTGAGCCACTGCAGCCGGCCTGTAAAGTTTAAAGTAGATAAACAGTACAATTTGTTAAGAAATTGACTTCACTGGGCGCAGTGGCTCACGCCTGTAATCCCAGCATTTTGGGAGGCCAAGGCGGGCAGATCACGAGGTCAGGAGATCGAGACAATCCTGGTTAACACGGTGAAACCCCATCTCTACTAAAAATACTAAAAATACAAAAAATTAGCCGGGCGTGGTGGCAGGTGCCTGTAGTCCCAGCTACTCGGGAGGCTGAGGCAGGAGAATGGTGTGAACCCAGGAGTCGGACCTTGCAGTGAGCCAAGATCGCGCCACTGCACTCCAGCCTGGGCGACAGAGCCAGACTCCATCTCAAAAAAAAAAAAAAAAAAAAAAAGAAAAAGAAAAAAAAAAGAAAAAGAAAAAAAAAGAAATTGACTTAAACACTAGTAACCAATGGTAATAGAAATTTAAAGAAGGAAAAATTGACACTACTTTAATTGTCTGAGACCTGCATTTCAAAGAAAAGACAAACCTATCTTAGGATTTTGGAGGCTGGACATTCACTGCAAAACCTATAGGAAAGCAGAGTTAAAAATTAAACAACACTAAGAAAATATGTTTGGAGGAAAACTCAAGCTTTGGCTAGACGCGAAATTTTTGTGCAGGCATTGAAGGGAATGTTTGACATGAAGGGGAGAATATTTTGTAGAGGCTCCAGAAACCTCAAATATCTGGTCTCCCATTAGCTAAAAACTAGAGGTAGATTGGTATCATTAAAAGGAAGAGTTGGGAACTAGTGAATCAGATAAGGTATGGTGAGTTTTATGCTCAAAGGCCTGGATTAGTCCTGTTGGAATAATATTTTAAAAGCAGCTTTAAATCTATTGTTTTCTATGAAATCTCCCATATTTAAACATTGGTAACATATTCAAAAAAATTTTTTAACTGTGTAGGCCCAACTAAGCATATCTTAATACATAGGTCTCCAATGTATAACATCTAAGATAACGGTTTCACCAGTTTTTATTTTAAAAGGTGTTCCAGGGGAAGGGAGGAAAAGAATGGACGAGGCGACATAGACCAGGTTTGCATTATAAAGACAATTACTGGCCGCGCAGGGTGGCCCAAGCCTGTAATCCTAGCACTTTGGGAGGCCAAAGCGGGCAGATCACGAGGTCAGAAGATAGAGACCATCCTGGCCAACATGGTGAAACCCCATCTCTACTAAAATACAAAGAATTAGCCAGGCATGGTGGCTTGTGCCTATAGTCCTAGCAACTCGGGAGACTGAGGCAGGGGAATCGCTTGAACCCGGGAGGCGGAGGTTGCAGTGAGCCGAGATACCGCACTCCAGCCTGGGCAACAGAGTGAGACTCCATCTCAAAATAATAATAATAATAATAACAATAACAATAATAACAATAATAATTCCCACATAGCTAGAAGTGTGGCTCATAGTAGGAATCCTCAGAAATGTGCATCCTGACCCTTTAAAGTACTCGTTAAAAATACTTGTCCTAAGGCTCCACCCAGACGTTTGGAATAAAAGTAGTTTGTGAGTGCCCTGGAGAGACTGAGCACTCTTACATAAGGGGAATCCCAGAGGGAAAAAGATCACGTAGTGTGTTATCTCCTTGTTAAAGCAAACTAAATATGGCCTGAGAAGGACTCTGTACTTCTATATTTGAGTCCTTGTGATCAGCTGTAACCTAGCTTAATTGTCAGACAAAATTGAAAACTGAATTTAATAGTATGCACCCGTAACTATAGCTGAGCGTTGGCCAATCCCAGCGGCCATACTTCAGCAACTCATAGACTGCCGAGTGTTCAAACTGCGTTCAAATACGGCAAATGCCGAGCTTTAACCAATCTCACTGTTTCTGTACCTCACTTCCAATTCCTGTGCGTCACTTTACCTTTTTGGTCTATAAATTTGTTCTGACCACGAGACATCCCTGGAGTATCTGTGAATCTGCTGTGATTCTGGGGGCTGCCCAATGCGCGAATGGTTCATTGCTCAATTAAACTCCCTTAAATTTAATTCGGATGAAGTTTTTCTGTTATCAACCTCATCAGAAGAAAACATGATTTTGTGCTGCCTTATTCAGTGTAATAAAATAATTTTTGCTTCTTAACTGCTGTATAAAGTGAGATATGCCTCTTTTATGAAGGTAATAGCAATCTTTGAAATATTAGCAATCATGAGAATTGACTTACAATTTAGTGCCAATGTCACTCATTTTTAGAGATTTACCTATTGACGCAATAACTCCTTGGTAATCATTGTCCATGGCACGTGGTACACAAAGGCTTCCAGAATAGTGCATTATTGGCCTGGGAGATGATGCTTTTACCATTCCATTCAGGCCAGTGCAAAGTTTCAATGTGCTCACTTCATTAATTTCTACTTAAAAAAAACACACACACACACATTACTCTCATTAAAATTAATGACTTTTATGCTTAACCACAAAAGAGAGACTCCATCACTCACTCTGCAGCAGCAAGAGATATCATAAGATCATTTTAATTGGCTGTATTAAGACACAAGCACTTACTTTTCCATTTATTAAATTAATAAAATTATCAAGTCCTAATTTTAAATCCTTTTACTGTCACTCACAGAACTTTTCCCTTTTTGACCTATTTTGTCCTTTTACTCGATCTACTACTAAAAATTTTACCACAGATAACATAATGATAAACTACAAGGTATATGAAATATTCCTGTAGAATCCAAGTGCCCCAAAATCTTGATATTAGGCAACCATGGGCTAAAGATTCTGTTTTCATCGGGTGAAAAATTGGGACGTTTATCTTTATTAGTGAATCAAAGTGGGACTCAGTTAATGGTAAGGGTGAAAGAGATTGTCTTAATTAAGAAGAAACATTCTGGGAAATCACATACTGGGAAAACAGATACAGAACCCTAGTACATGCGTGTCCAAATAGTATACTTTTCGTATCCACTGAAGTACAAGAAGAGCAAATTTTTAAAAAATTATCAAACATCACAAAAGGCCTTTGCAAAAAAAATGTGTTATAGGGCGGGTGCGGTGGCTTATGCCTGTAATCCCAGCACTTTGGGAGGCTGAGGCGGGCGGATCACGAGGTCAGTAGATCAAGAGCAGCCTGGCTAACATGGTGAAACCCCATCTCTACTAAAAATACAAAAAATTAGCCAGTGTGGTGGCACAGACTGTAGTCCCAGCTACTTGGGAGGCTGAGGCAGGAGAATCGCTTGAACCCGGGAGGCGGAGGTTGCAGTGAGCTGAGATCGCGCCACTGCACTCCAGCCTGGGCGACAGAGAGAGACTCCGTCTCAGAAAAAAGAAAAAAATGTGTTATAACATGTATAGTGGCACCAAATGTGTTCTTTAGCATCAAAGAAACAGTTTGACCTCAGTGGTGCCAACTTAGAGATAAGTGCATGAAGTTTTCTTAAAATGAGAGACCATCGTAATGTAGGGATAGTGCCAGTTTATAGGCCATCCTTTATTGGCAAAAATCATATGAAACGGCTCTCAAGGCTGAAAATAGGAAGACAGCACAGAGTGGAAAGAAGAGCATACGATTAGCAGAGCTTGAGGTTATCGTTATATACTAACTGTTATGGTCATGTGTTTTATTCCATGTGGTGAGCCCATTCCCAATCCCAACGATTGATCTCATGAATGCTATAAGTTTCACACCATAAATTGTAATAAAAGGATAATACCAGAAAAATCAATGCCAACTGCATTATTTCATTCAATATTAATTGAAGTATTGGCAAACCATTTCTTAATGCTCATAAACACACAAAAAATGCAGAAAACATTAAAACTATTTTACCCCACCATGGGGCTTAACTATAAGCCAATAATTTAAATAAAATTGTGGACAGAAGCCTTTTTATGCAGAAATTGTTGAAGCTGCATTAAAGCATTAAAACTGTGCTTGGCCAGGTGCGGTGGCTCACGCCTTTATTCCCAGCACTTTGGGAGACCGAGGCGGGCGGATCATGAGGTCAGGAGATCGCGACCATCCTGGCTAACATGGTGAAACCCCGTCTCTACTAAAAATACAAAAAATTAGCCCGGCGTGGTGGCGGGTGCCTGTAGTCCCAGCTACTCGGGAGGCTGAGGCAGGAGAATGGCGTGAACCCGGGACGCAGAGCTTGCAGTGAGCCCAGATCGCGCCACTGCACTCTAGCCTATGCGACAGAGAGAGATTCCATCTCAAAAAAATTAAAAATTAAAAAAAAGTGTGCCTAATGAGGAAAGTATTTTAATACATGTTATTTCTTTACATTCTCTCTTTGTTTTGGATATACAGTTCAGACTTACTGCATTTTCACAATGTGACTCAAAAATTAGAAGAACAAAATTAAAGCAAACACTTACATTGTTTATTCATTCAATATTCATGGGCTGCCACCTTCTGTGTCTGAGGCTTGTGTTAAAAAATAGAATTACAGATGTGAGTAAAAATGGAACAGATCTTTAAGGAGACTATGTTGAGCTAGTAAAAATGGCTGGCCAGGCCATTCACACTCCTCAAGCCTTAAGTTACTGCAACTTACTTTGAACCAACTGGGTAAAATTTTCTTCTGTTCTCTTTTCAGACAGAAATTTTAATGAATAACTCAGAAGGCTGCATGGAAAAATTAGCTTACAAATTAAATATGTGGATGTTCTACAAGTATGCTGGGCAAGGTTGTGCAGATTCATTTTAAATCTCTGTTACCAATGAACAAATCTTGCCTTCTCATCAGTGTAGGATTATAACTTGTGTTTACAATTTTTTTATATTCATTACCACTTTATTCCTATTTGCTACATACTACTGCCTATGTACCAGGTAGTCATTGAACAAGAAACCTTAACTGCATTATTTTGAATTTGAACTTCAACACAATCAAAACACTACTATTATCTATATATGACAAATTTAAAAATGGGACTTAGGGAAATTGAATGACTTGCCCAAGGTCATGAAGGTGTCAAGTGAGGAGATCAGGATTCAAATTCAGAGGGCAGATCAATCTCTCAGCCAGATACTCTTAGCCTCCCCATTATCATTGCATTGGGTCCTTGTTAAAACGAATAAACAAAAATATCTGCTGTATTCTTTTGTACACATTCCCAGAAATTGGATTGCCAAATTATATGGTAGTTCTGTTTTTCTTTTTTTTTTTGAGACGGAGTCTCACTATGTCACCTGGCTGCAGTGCAGTGGTGTGATCTCGGCTCACTGCAACCTCTTCCTCTCGGGGTCAAGCAATTCTCCCATCTCAGCCTCCCAAAATAACTGGGATTACAGGTATGCACCACCACGCCCAGCTAACTTTTGTACTTTTTTTTTTAGTAGAGATGGGGTTTCACCATATTGACCAGGATGGTCTCGATCTCATGACCTTGTGATCCACCCGCCTCGGCTTCCCAAAGTGCTGGGATTACAGGCGTGAGCCACCGTGCCCGTCCCTGTTTTTCATTTTTTAAGGAAACTTAGTACTGTTTTTCATAGTGGCTGCACTGCAGCATTATTTCCAATTAGCCATGATATGGAAACAACACAAATGTCCACCAACAGATGAATGAATGAAGAAAGTATGGCATATACATACAATGGAATATCAACCAGCCTTAGAAAAGCAGGAAATTCTACTGTTCGTGACAACTGAGATGAACCTCGAGGGCATTAAGTGAAATGAGTTAAGTGAATCTCAGAGGGACGAATATTTCATGATTCCACTCACATGAGGTCTCTAACATAGTCAAACACAAAAGCAGAGAACGGAATGGTGGCTCCCAGGGACTGGAGAGAGGGGGAAAAAGGAAATTGCTTTGCAGTGAGTGTAACGTTTCTGTAATACAAGACATTTAAGTTCTGGAGATCTGCTGTATCTCATAAAACCTATAGTTAACAGTACAGGATTGTGCACTTTAAAATACTGTATGTTAAGTGGATAGATCTTCAGTGCTCTTACAAAAAAAAACACACGTACACAAAAGAACACACGAATATTTTTGGAGGTGATGGATATGTATAGTACTTTGTTATGATGATGGTATCATGGACGTGCGCATATGTCCAAACTTATCAAAATATTTACATTAAATGTGTGCAATTTTTTTATATCGATTGCATCTAAAGAAAACTAAACAACGACAACAACAACAACAAACTGCTCCATGTCTAGCCATAGCACCATTCTAGAAGCCAAGCACTAGCCCCACTAGGGACATAAACTCTCAAACGGACCACAGTAGCACAAGCATCATGTGCTCTGGATGTATTTCTTGGCATCGCTCTCCAATCTGGTTATAGTGGAGCTCCTTCCTTGTACTTGCTGCTATCCTTGTGCAATAATGTCTGTTAGTTTTATATTCACTTGTGTTTCCCACTAGATTTTGACCCCCTAAAACCATTTATGCCATATTTACCTTTATATCTCCACTCTGGAGCACACAATCTGACCATGACAAATAATACATGTGGAGTATGTGTTGAATAAACAAATAAATGACCATGTGAGCAAATAAATGCAATATTGCTCATTCTACACTGCTAGCTATAATTAAATCATATACTTTTACTGAGTTCTGAGAAACTATGTTTCGAAAAGGCGCACTAACCAGGAAAATAATTCATTCAAGTTTTATTGTCATTCAAGGAGTTCCAATTAATTAAGGAGAAAAAATATTGAATGACAGAAAGAGAAGTCTATGAGGGAGGTAGCATTTGTTGTTATTATCCCTATGTTGTAGAAAGTGTTTCGTTTAAAAAATAAAATAGAGCAGTGTTTTGTTTGTTTGTTTGTTTGTTGTTTGTTTTGAGACAGAGTCTCATTCTGTCTCCCAGGCTGGAGTGCAGTGGTGCGATCTCAGCTCACTGCAACCTCCACCTCCCAGGTTCAAGCGATTATCCTGCCTCAGTCTCCCAAGTAGCTGGGATTACAGATGCGCACCACCATGACTGGCTAATTTTTGTATTTTTAGTAGACACAGGGTTTCTCCATGTTGGCCAGGCTGATCCTGAACTCCTGACCTCAGGTGATCTGCCCGCCTTGGCCTTCCAAAGTGCTTGGATTACAGGTGTGAGCCACTGTGCTGCCCAGCCTGCAATGGTTTATTATAGGAACTAAATGAGACAATATTATATAACTATAATGCATTGCCTGGTATATAAATAACATTAAACAAAGATAAATGAGACAATATTATATAACTATAATGTATTTCCTGGTATATAAGTAATATTAAACAAAGATAACATTTCTTGTTCTCCACCCTTTCTCTTTTTCACTTTATTATTATTTTTAGAGGATCTTGCTCTGCCTCCCAGGCTGGAACCCAATGGCATGATCATAGCTCACTGCAGCCTTGAACTCCTGGGCTCAAATTGTCCTTCTGCCTTAGCCCCCAAAGTGTCTGGGCCTATAGGCTCATGCCACCATGCCTGGCTAATTATTTTCTTTTGTATGAAGGCAAGGTTTTGCTTTGTTGTCCAGGCTAGTCTCAAACTCCTGGTCTCAAGTGATCCTCCCACCTCAGCCTCCCAAAGTGCTGGGATTACCAGCATGAGCCACCACGCCTGGATGAGCAGTGTTTCTCAAACTGGTGTCCTAAACCAGCAGCATCTGCATCACTGGAAAAGGACTAGATTCAGAAATATTAGGCCTGGGGCTTGGCAATCTAAATTCAAAAACCACTGGTATAATTATTCCATGTTCCTAAGTACTATTATAATTAGGGACATGGAAGAGAAATTAACCATAGTAATCTTGATTTGGCATTTTTGGCACTAATTTTATTTAGACTATGAGGTGGTTAGTATGCTGTTGCGCATTCTAGTCAGACTCTTTTGAAGCACAGACTGAGAGAACTCTTTTAGATTCTTTTATTTTTTCATTTTATTTTATTTATTTATTTATTTATTTATTTATTTTATTTATTTATTTTTTTTGAGACGGAGTCTTGCTCTGTTGCCCAGGCAGGAGTGCAGTGGCACGCTCTCGGCTCATTGCAACCTCTGCCTCCCAGGTTCAAGCAGTTCTCATGCCTCAGCTTCTCAAGCAGCTGGGATTATAGGTAAGCATCACCATGACCAGCTAATTTTTGTATGTTTAATAGCAGTGGGGTTTCACCGTGTTGCCCAGGTTGGTCTTGAATTCCTGGCCTCAAATGACCTGCCTGCCTCGGCCTCCCAAAGTGCTGGGATTACAGGTATCAGCCACCGTGCCCGGCCTGGATTCATATTCTTGAATGAATGCAATAGCACTAAGTGAACATGCTAACAAAACGCTACTGAACACTTCCATCTGTGTACGGAGTAGGCACTCAATAAACATTGCTGACTGATTTAAGAGATGACTTGGATTGAGAACTCAGATCATACCAAAGAGTTTATTTTCTGCTAATGGGTTAAAATAATACCCTGTCAGAATAGGACATGCAACATTTGAGCCCTACAGATTCTAGTAATGGACTCCACGATTGCACTTTCTTTTTCCACACGCAACTGTCCAATCTCTCTTCAGTTGCTTTCAGGAAAATCCATTTAGAATTATCTATTGGATATTACTGAGTGAGCAAAACCCATGTACCTCTTGTTTTTCTTTATTTCTGTGTCATTTTCTCAAATAAACAAACAAGAAAATAACCCAAAAGCACAGAAGGCAGCATCTGGAAAATGTTCTTTGTAGACGGATCACACCACTCTCATGTTTGTGGGAAGCTCTGCTGTGCATTGCTGGAATGACTTCGGGGAGAACAGGCTCTTTATCTGCGCAAGTGAGAGCTTTTATTTTTCTGTCTTCCTCAAGGAGAAGATGGTACAATTATAGTTCAGCAAAGCGAAGTCAGGAGAAGGGGGAGGAAAATAGTGTGAACGACGCTTTTATCTGACAAGGCCTCTCTTTTCCTTGGCTTCTTTTTTTTGGCCTTAAAACTAACACACCCAGTGATACAAACCACCTCAGCCTTTATGTAGATTATCCAGTTCAGAGAATAAGGTGAGTTTGTTCCTGGAAAAGCTGCCAGTCCTGAAGTGAAGCCAATCCTAAGGGAAGGTCCAACTGCAGCTCTTGGCTGATGGAAGCATGAACTCACTGGTGTTAAGACGTTTCAGTGATGGGGAGCACTCAATTTTATTTTGGAGCATCAACATTATTGCAAATGCCCATTCTAGATGTAAAACTGGTTCATGTGTGTTTAATTTATTGGAAAGACACTGCAGACTATTGATTTTTTTTTTCTCTTGCAAGAAAATGAAAGAAGCATACCAGCGTGTCCTTGGGCAATAGACGTAAGTTGCACGTGCCTCTCTTTCCTCATCTATATCAGGTACAGAACCGAAAGAAGCTCCTAGCATAGTTCATTTATTTTGCATTCAGGTATTGAGTGTATCACATATATCAAATCTCATGTAAAGAAGAGGGCGGAAGGGGCAAAAAGGGAGCAGAAAGAACAGTGGAAGAGGACAGGTAAAGGTGAGATGCTCAGTGTGGAAAGAGTGAAATATCTCGTGAACACATACTTAAAGAAAATGTATGTGAAGAAATGCATGTACTAGGTAGTGGGCCAGCACAGAGAAAGTAATAAATAAAGTTCTCAAAGAAGGAGTCGCAAAGGGAGGGCAATTGAGTTATTGACTAGAAGAGTACAGGCAAGGGTTCTGTAGGAGGAGGAAGGGGGAGGGCTTTTTAAGAAAAGGATGAACATTTCTGAGAGGGTGGAAACAAAAAAGGCCCTGTACTGCATAAAGAGTGATGAAAAACAAGCTGGGAAGTGTTATAGACCATAACTCCATTTTTTTTTTAGTACAAACAAAATGCTTAGAAATAAGTGTGCCAAAATGTTAACAGTGATTGTCTCTGCATGCCACAAATAATAGTTGATTTTATTTTATACCTTATACTATGTGGTATTTTCCAAATATTCTGTAGTGAGCAAGTATTATTTAAAAATTAGAATAAAATGTTATAATATATTATATCTGTCACACAGGGTCATCGTGTAAATTATATGGTGCTATGGATTCTTTTAACCTAATGAGCATTTACACACCTACTATGTGCCGTATATGCTGCTAATTTCAAGGTCTAAGAAGACAAAAGGCACAGTGCTTGTTCTCTTGAAGCTCAACAGTTTTCCAAGGAAGATGGAAAGCCAGCTGGACTAAAGAGAAAGGTCAGGTTACGCAGAAGCACCCAAGAGTATTCTTCACTTTAGAGCAGAGTTTCCTGGGACAGTGCACCAGGCGAGGGGAGCCTGATTAGTCTTCAAAGGACAGGTAAGAAAGGGTAGTCTGGATGGAGAAGTCAGAGCGAACAGAAGCAGGATTGAGAAGGGGTGTAGGGAAAATCACAAGCAACTCTGCATAGTACTGTAAGATGAAAAGAATGAGCCATCTGCACGGTATGGAATCTTCAGGGTCCAGCTTAAGGATCACCCAGATTGGATGGAGCTGGAGACCATTATCCTTAGAAAACTAATGCAGGAACAGAAAACCAAATACTTCATGTTCTCACTTGCAAGTGGGAGCTAAATGATGAGAACACGTGGACACATAGAAGGGAACAACACACATCAGGGCCTATCAGAGGGCAGAGAGTGGGAGGGAGGAGAGGATGAGGAAAAATAACTCATGGATACTAGGCTTAATACCTGGGTGATGAAATAATATGTACAGGAAATCCTCATGACACGAGTTTACGTATGTAACAAACCTGCACATGTAACCCCAAATTTAAAATAAAAGTTAAATAAATAAAAGCAAACAAATCACTTATATGGCAAGAATATATCAGTAGGTTGTTGCTCAGTTTTAACAGTTTCTGCCAAATGCTCCTATCATTGATCATTTCATATTCTATGTTTCCATGCTTTGTAAAATCAGCAACTGGAGCTGCTTAAAATGTTTATATATAAAAATGTAACTGGATCAAACAGTGGCTTTGCGAAGAGAAGGGAAGGGTCAGGGAGATTCCTCTGAAAAGGAATGTGACTGAAAATTTAGGAATAGTGGTATAAAAATTGCTTTAAAAGTAAAAAAAAATAAAAAGCTGGGATAGTTGGAGAAGTAGCCTTTGAAAGGTTTAGTGATGAAGAGTTCATTTATCATGAAATTAGGTTCTAGATAGACTGGGACATTTCTTAAGGGAGAGGGGCAGGGAGACACAGGTATAGAAAAACAGACAACTAAAGAGATGAGGACACCAGTCTCAGGAAATACTAAATGGGATGTAAGGCTGTACCTGAAGCTGGTTGGATTTTCACTTATTACTTCATGGCCATCTGCTGCTTTTTCTGAGTTTGTCCTGATATTTTTCCTTTTGGAAATCCCCTACAATGACTCCATGACACTCTGTTATGTCAATCAGTCATGTAACTCAACTGATCAAGGTAGAGGCTTTGCCCAGATTGGCCAGATAGGAGATTATTCCCTCAGACAAAACAATTCACCCAGAGGTGGTCACATGATGATAGGGTTTGGCTGTCTCCCCACTCAAATCTCATCTTGAATTGTGGTTCTCATAATTCCCACATATTGTGGGAGGAAAAGATAACTGAAAGATAATTGAAAGATACTTGAATCATGGGGCCAGTTTTCCTCATCTGGTTCTTGGGGTAGTGAATACGTCTCACAAAATCTGATTTGATAAGGGGTTTCCTCTTTTGCTTGTCTCTCATTCTCTCTTGCCTGCCACCATGCAAGATGTGACTTTGCTTTTCCTTCACATTCCACCATGATTGTGAGGCCTCCCCAGCCATATGGAACTGTGAGTTAATGAAACCTCTTTCCTTTATAAATTACACAGTCTTGGGTATGTCTTTATTAGCAGCCTGAGAACAGACAAATACACATTATATAACCAGAGACAAGATAAGTCCTTTACAGAAATGTTTAAGAACACTAATGAAGAAAAGGTTAGCTTGGAAGATGCAGTAATCCTGGAGTTGGTGGAGGCAGCATTGAGCTACATAGAAAATCTTTTCTTGAGAATGAAGACAATGGGGATAAATGTGGAATTTGGGGGAAAAAAAGTCAGGGAAAGATAGGAAAAGAGAGAATAAAAAGAGTTGCAGAAACAGGGAGAAGGACAAGTGGGAGGAAGAACAAGAAGAAGACACAAGGACAATGAAGGACAACATGGTGTAAGCACCTGGAACTAGCTGAGTCTGACACCAGCACCCACCTATTGGACTCTTCTATTGAAAAATATTGAAGAAGTCAATGATTTTTTTCTTAAATTAGTTTACATATGCTAATCATGGATTGAGCATGTGCTGTATATGGAATCTCATGTAAAGAATGAAGTTGAGGAGGAGCAAAAGAAAAGCCAGAAAAAGAAGGTAAAGGAAGAGGTAAAGACAAAGGGCTCAGTATCTGGTGAATGAGACGAAGGAGGCAGGAATACAACCAGACAAAAGAGCTGAGTCAGGATATATGTCATCACAGAAGTGGGTCATGTCAGAATGGAATTCTCTGGGCATGTTTCCAGCAGACAGGATCCCTGGCTGAGAACTTTGAAGAACAGGTGAGAAGGTGTAGTCCAGGAGGAGAAGGCTGATCAAATTTCTATTGGTTATCCGCTTTCTTGGCTCTGTGGTTCTATTATCAGCAGCCTCCTAATAATCCATAAGCTTTCCCTGCCTTATATAGAGAACATTATCTTCTTTTTATTTTATTTATTTATTCGTTCATTTATTTTTAGAGACAGGGTCTCACTTTGTCCCTCGGGCTGGAGTGCAGTGGTGTGATCATGCCTCACTGCAGCCTTGAACTCCTAGGCTCAAGCCATCCTCTTGCCTCAGCCTTATAAGTAGCTAGGACCACAGGCAGGCAACATCAAGCCCAGCAAATCTTTAATTTTTCATTTTCGTTGAGATAGGATCTGGCTATGTTGCCTTGCTGGCCTCGAACTCCTGACCTTAAGCAGTCCTCCTGCCTCCAACTCTAAAAATACTGGAATTACATTCATGAGTCACCACACCCAGCCATCTTCTTATTTTAATGCTAAGGAAAATCACTTCTCTTTTTGCCTAATTATATTCTGATTTCCAGCATTCCCTGCAAACAGTATACCACACAGAGACTTAATGAAAGAAGTGAGTGTAGCAGCTATCACACGGTTTACAGTCGAAACTATTTTGCCTTTGTATTACTTATTGCTACATAACACATTTAGAGGTTTAAATAAATAATATATTCATATTACATCACAGTTTCTGTGGGTAAGAAATCTGTGCTAACCTGAGTCTTCTGCTTTAGGGTCTGAGGAGACTGCAATCAAGGTGTCATCCAGGCCTGAGATCTCATTTGAAAGCTCAGTGGGGGAAGGATCTGCTTACTAGCTAATGTGATTGTTGGCAGGATTTGGTTCCTGCTGGCTGTCAGATTAAGGACCTCAATTCCTTTTTGTCTGTCAGCCAGAGGCTACTCACCGTTCTTTACAACACATACTGCTCTATAGGGAAGCATAAAGCATGGCAGCTTGATTCATCAAAAGACATGAAGGAAGAGTCTATAGGGTGAGTCTGCTAGCAAGATGAAAATGGTAATCTCATATAACAACATCATGGAGTGGCATCTCCTCATTTTTGTTATAGTCTTCTAGTGAGAAGCGAGTCAAAACCCTCACCCATACTCAAGGAGACGGTATTATAGGGTAGTATAATATCAGGAGATGGGGATCACAGGCAGCAACCTCAGTGTGTGTCCCCCACAGTCTTCCTGCTTCATAAACATAAAATCCCACCAAGCTTTTCCAAAATATTTAAATTTACAGTGTAGTGAAATGAAGGTTGCAAAACATGTAAAAAGTAAAATTGGTAGGGAGAGGTGACATTTCTAAATTTTTGCTTCAATAATCTCTTTAATCACCTTTTAAATGTGTATATCATTGTATCATCATATCTTGTCATATACTTGCAGAGTGAAAAGAAAAGAATAATTTAGGATTTGAGCAGCTACAGTATGTTAAATATCCAGCTTCTCTCATTTAACTCACCAATTTTCTATGAGGTTGCTGGTATTATTCTATTTTATTCAGGATTAAAGAGGTTTTGTAGGCAGAAAAGAATTATTTTTAACTAGTATTGTGCAAACTAACCTCTGAAGTAAGCTTCATTATCCTTTGTATCAATCCCAATTATTAAATTGACAAAATGTCTCTAAATCTCATCAATTCATCTACAAAATGGGGATAATGTTATCTTACAGTATTTCTGTGAGGACTCAGAGAGATAAAGAAAGCACTTAGCATAGAGTTTTGCACCTACTAACTGCTCAATAAAAATTAGATTTTATTATTGTTAAACAATAATTCCCATAGGGAATTCCCAATGTTGAAGCCAATCCTGTCTGACTGTGCTCTTTCTATTACATGCATCTCTAATAAATCTTAGGTTGATTTAGTGCATCTCTAATTTAGAAATAAAAACAGGGGGAACAAAGAATTAAAGTGGCATTTATGATAAGAATACTGCAGAGACAGAGCTTAACTTGGTTTACCTGAACCTAGAGCAGTGTTCTCCAACTTGAGTGTCCATCAGAATCCCTAGAAGGGCCTGTTAAAATACAGATTGCTGGACCCCACTCCCAAAGCTTCTGACTCACTAGATTTGGGATGGAGCCTGAGAATTTGCCTTTCTAACAGGCTCCCATGTGATGTTGACGCTGCTAGTCCAGGTACTGTACTTCGAGAACCTCTGGTTTAAGGCATTAAAGTCACAGCATTAAGCTCCAGCTGTTATGCAAATGTGAAACAGATTCCATTTTATGTGATCTACTAAAATTTTGAGCAGATGCGGTTTGTGGTTGAATTGCATATGACCGTTTCATATGTAGGCTGCTAGGCAGAGCTATTTTTGTTTGTAAGTATGAATATGCCAGGCTGGAGTGTCAAATCACCTTACTATATTGCCTGTGGTGGAGCTTGCTGTTGCATAAAGGTGTGCAAACTCAGTAAAACTCTTATTAGAGATGTTCTGTGCTGTTTCTCTATTTCCCCTAAACAAGCAACTGGCCAATAAAAATCATATGAGTAAAAGCTACCTATGATCAATCTTAACTAGCTTGTATGGAAGGATTCAATATAAATTGGGTCTAGTTGGCAGAAAAATTAATTTCTTAGATTTCTCTAGAAAGCAAGCCAGATGTACTTTATTACATTTGGCTTTTATTCAACATGCTGCTGCAAGAATTCCAAGTTTCTTCTCTGACACCCAACTGTCGCTCCAGACAATCCTCTGTTATATACTAACATATCATATACATGAAATACATGCATACATTGAATATTCAAATGCCTAAATTTTCAATAGCACATGCTTATTTTCCTCATCCTATGCCTACTGTCTACTAATGGTTTCCAAAGGCTCTGATCCTTTGAGAAAATTCCTATTTAACATTAAATAAGTCATTTAAAATACATCATCCTTAGTCTACAAAAGAGATCTTTGTTTTGTTTTTTGATAAGACATGTCTAAGACATATGGATCCTGATGAACAGCTATAAAACCAGGAGCTCCTTCCAAAGGAAATTCTTTCTGGATATTTGAGCAATTATTAAACATCTATTTCTATGAATTAATTTCTTGGACTTTTGGAGAGAACAAACATATGGCTTGCCATCAAACACTGATATATAAATAGAGCATTATGATTAATATCAATCTATTTTAGTAAATAAATATATATTTTTATTTCTGTCTGAAGGAAAGAGAGAATGAGAAAAAAAAGGATTAAAAGTAAAGATTATTTGCATACGAATATATTTGTTTTCTTTATTTACCATTGTAGGCCCAGGTTCCAGCAAATGTCTAGGAAATACTGAAAGACTGAGAAATATCTTGGAAAAAATGAGAGAATAAATGGATAGCTTCAGAATTGAGAAAGAAAATTATCTGCAGACATTTTGAAAAATATAGGATGTGTCTTATTTTCTAAAATATTGTTAGTATTTTTTTCTTATAGTCTTTCTTGCAATACCTACTATTTTTCTATTGCATGCTGAAAACTATGCTAGAGGAATACAACAGTGAGCAAAGAGAGACAGACATAAATCCAGGAGTCACCAAATATGCTGACTATACTGAACTTAGAATTCATATGGCGTAGGGGCTGGAGATTTAGTCAGCCAGATCTGAGAAAGCTTCTCCAAGAAAATGAATAGGAGTTAACTAGGCAATACAGAGAGGAGTGATCAAGGCAATTGGAATAGAACCTGCAAAGTTTTAGTGATGGAGAGAGCGTGGTCCTTCAAGAACCAGTATAACTTGCCTTTCCAATTTGACATAAAGTCATAAAGTCAATTATATTATGACATTCATTGTAAATATAGAATGAAGCTTGAACATCTTATGCTTATTCATTTCATAAGTAACATAACCTGAGGGTTATTTTTTTTTTCATTATAGCATAGGGCACCATTACCCTTGCAAGGGGAGAAGTAATACTTTGACTTAGATAAGAGGGTGACTCATGACTGCACTAGTCTAGCTCTCTTATAGTCCATAGTTGCCGGTTTAGCTAGTGGAATATATAGGTATAGAGGGTATTTGGCAGTTAAACCCTTAATCTTATATTTCTACATAAGAAATACTCTTATGCAATCTCATGCAAAATCCCCTCCTAAGGCAGCCAGATTTATCTTCTCAGCTGAGGAACTAGTGTGGAAGCAATCACTAACGACAGCACATTGGTGAGAGTACACATAGTGCTTATAATGGTCAGCATGCAGACCTCCAGACCACTGTTACTGACCTGATCAAAGCCATGGGAACCACTGGGAGGTTGTGCTCACACTTCTGCTCCATAAATTTAGCAGACCAAGAAGTTTATTACCACCCTGAGACAAGCTGATGATGGAATGGCTAGTTGAGTTAGTGCCTCAGCCTTTTCGATCTATTTCCAATTACTGTTGAAGGAATCAAGTCTCTGTAACGTGTCCATTTTTATTCAGTTCATGTTACTAAGACTATATAATAATGCTCCTGAAAGACAGTGTGTTGGAATTTTAGCAAAATCTCAAAGGGGTGGTGAGATTGTTCTGGAGGAGTAGGGGACGAAACATGAGCATTAACTCAAGATTCTGTCTGAAAGATGCAAACTAATCAAGAGGCTTGGAGAATTTGACAACTGGTTAGACATTGCTTAATTTTAGATCCTATTGTTCAAAGCATTTTTAAGTAGAATTTCAGTATAACAGAGTTGTCAAGGATCTAGTAATAGCCAAATGTCTTAGTTTGTTTTCTGCTACCATAACAGAATAACTAAAGCTAGGTAATTTTTAATGAACAGAAATTTATTTGCCTCACAGATCTGGAGGCTGGGAAGTTCAAGGCTGAAGGGCTGCATCTGCTGAGGGACTTCTTGCTGTGCCATAACACGGCAGAAGGCATATCACCTGGCAAAGGTGCATGAGAGAGAAACCAGGGGAATCAAACGCAACCTTTTTATCAGGGACCCACTTTCTTTATAACTAACCCACTCCAGCAATAATAGAATTAATCCCTTCATGAGGGTAGAGCCCTTGTAACCTAATCACCTCTTAAAGGTTCCACCTCTCAACACTGTTGCATTGGGGGTTGAGTTTCCAAAACGTAAACCTTGGGGAAAACGTTCAAGTCATAGCATTCTGCTCCTGACTCCTAAAATTTATGTTCTTTTCACATGCAAAGTGCATTCATTTTACTCCAAAAGTCCCAAAGTCTTAACTCACTCCAACACCACCTCAGAAGTCCAAAGTCCACAGTCTCATCTGAATCAGACATGTGTGAGACTCAAGGCATGATTCATCCCGTTGCTAATTTCTTTAAGACTGTGAAATTAACAAGTTAGGTGTGTCCAAAATACAATGGTGGAACAGGCACAGGATAGACATTCTCATTCCAAAAGGAGAAGTAGGCAGAAAGAAAGAGGTAGCTGGTCCTGAATAAGTCTAAAACCAAACAGGGAAAACAAGTTCTAAGCTGGAGAATAATCTCCCTCAACTCTATGTTCTGCATCCTAAGTACACTGAGGTGAGAATTGAGCCCCCAAGGGCTCAGGCAGACCTGCCCCTAAGACTTTGCTGGACTCAGGCCACCCAGCAGCTCTCACTGCTTGGAGTCTCCCACCTGCAGCTTTTCCAGGCTGGAGTTGCATGCTGGTAGCTCTACAGTTCTGTGGTCTTCAGGACTACCCAACTCCCACTACTCCACTATGCATTTCCCTAGTGAGGGTGCTCTGTGGTGACTCCGCCCCATGACAAGCATCTGCTTGGGCCCTCAGGCTGTCTGATATATCCTTTGAAATCTAGGTGGAGGTTTTCTTGACTCCACAGCTCCTGTAATCTATGCGTCTGCAGAGTCAGCCCCAGGAGGATGTTGCCAAGGTTTAACGTGCAACTTCTGGAGCTGGGCAGGAGCTGCAGCTGAGCTCACTTGAGCCATATCTGGGGCAGCCAAGGAGTGCTGTGCCTAGATGTGTGCAGCAGAGTCCTGAGGCTATGGGCATCGTGATGCTGAGGTCCCACAGGTGTCTCTCTGGAAACCTTTCCCTCAGGGTCCCAGCTTGTCTTTAGATCTCTGAAGTGCCTTTGGGATCATTCTCTCATTGTCTTGATGAGTAAAACTTGGCTTCCTTCTATCCCTATTAATCTATTTAGCAAGTAGCCACTTGGCCTCATACTTAGTATTCTCCCCAGAACATTATTTATTTATTTATTTTTCCTTTTGAGACGGAGTCTTGCTCTGTCACCAGGCTGGAGTGCAGTGGCTCAATCTTGGCTCACTGCACCCTCCGCCTCCCGGATTCAAGGGATTCTCCTGCTTCAGTCTCCTGAGTAGCTGGCACTACAGATGCATGCCACCATGCCCAGCTAATTTTTGTATTTTTAATAGAGACAGGGTTTCACCATGTTGGCCAGGATGGTCTCAATCTCTTGACCTCGTGATCCTCCCACCTTGGCATCCCAAAGTGTTGGGATTACAGGCGTGAGCCACCACACCCGGACTTTTTTTTTTTTTTTTTTTTTTTTTTTCATTTTTTACATGGCTCGGCTCAGATTTTTAAAATCCTTCCACTCTGCTTCATTTTTTATTTTAAATTTCATCTTTAAATAATTTCTCTCTTCTCTCACTTTATTGTAAGTGGCCAAAAGTAACCATGCAGCAATTTGAATGCTTTTCTCTTTAGGTATTTCTTCTGCCATATTTCCTAGTTCATTGTTCTTAAACTCTACCTTCTGTAAGCCCAACAGCATGGAAACAATTCAGCCAAGATTTTTGCCCTTTATGACAAGGATAGTTTTTAACTCCAATTTCCAATAAGACATTCCTAAAGGAATATAATGGGCATAATTCAGAATTTTGTCCATGCCCTCATGGACACATCATCAGAATTTTTTTTTTTTTTTACATTCCATATTTTTACCAACATTCTGATTACAACCACATAACTAATCCCTAAGATTTAGGGTCTCCCTACAGCTCCTGTCTTCGCATAGGCCTTTACCAGAAAATGCCTTTAATGTTCCATTTGTGGCAATATAGGCTTTTTCTAGCCTACTGCTCCAAATTCTTCCAGCCCCTATTACCTAGTTTCAAAGCTGTTTCCATATATTCAAGAATTGTTTACAGTAACAGCCCTATGTCTCAATAGCAATTTTCTGTCTTAATCAATTTTGTATTGTTATAAGACTACCACAGATTGTGTCATTTATAATAAATACAGCTCTATTCAGCTCAAAGTTCTGGAGGCTGGAAAGTCCAAGATAATGGGGCCTCATCTGGCTTCATCATAACATGGAAGAAGGCATCACATGGCAAAAGAGTCCTCCAGAGAGAGCCAGAAAGGGGGTAAAATTCAATATTTTTATTCAGGAACCCACTGCTACAATAACTAATCTGATCCAACAGCAATGTTAATTCATTTGTGGAGGTAAGAACGCTTATGATTATCTGTTAAAGGCCCCAACTCTCAACACTGTTGCTTCAGGAATTAAGGTTCTAACACATAAACTTGAGGACACATTCAAACCATATTACCAACTTATTTCAAGTCAAATAATTTTGCAGTCAGTAAAACTAGGGATAATTTCTGTGAAGTGGTATAATCATATTTGATTATATGGCTTACGACCTCCAGTTTGATTTTAGCAATTAACCTTTGTCTACAAGTAAAAAAAAAATAGAAATGATTAGGACATGGAACAGTGGTTAACCGTGTATGTTCTGGAGATTGTCTGTCTGTATTTAAATTAAGACTGTGTCCCTTACTAGCGGTGTGACCCTGGGAAGTTTAGTAATACCTGAACCTCAGTTTCTGTATCTGTAAAGTAAGGATTGAGGACTAAAGTCTGACTTTTTTTTTTCTTGCTCAAATTCCTACCTAAGGGGTTTGAGGGGCCATGTCCTACAAACCACAAAGTCTCATCAGAGGGGTCTATTTGACCCTATATAATGTGGCCTGTTTTCCAACCTGACCCTTGTATAGCATCACATAACAAATAAAGAAAGAAATCAAAATATTTAACCTCAAATATATTTCCTTGTCATATCTTGAAATCGCCCTGCAAAGTTGTCTCTTGTGGGAAAAAATCTACATTCTGTAAAGAATCCCTTTTCCCCTTTTTTTTCTTTCCATATTCAGGAGATAATCACCTAAGAGTCAGGCACCTTTTTTAAGTCCAATAAGAAAACCTTTTATAATCTATTCTCTCTGAAGCCTGCTAGCTAAAAGCTTTCCTCTTCACAATAAAACTTTGGACTCCACAATCCTTTATCTTACCCCATACATTTTCTTTCTATTGATCCCAGGTCCTTAGACAACTCAACAAATTGTCAACTAGAAATTTTTAAAATTTACCTATAGCCTGAAAGCTGCCATTTTGAGTTGTCCCTCCTTTCTGAATCAAGCCAGTTGTACATCTTAAATGCATTTCATTAACGTCTTATGTCTTCCAAAATTGCATAAAACCAGGCTGTGCTCTAACCACCGCAGGCACATGTTCTCAGGATCTCCTGAGGTCTCTGTCATGAGCCATGGTCACTCATACTTGGCTCAGAATAAATCTCTTCAAATATTTTAGAGTTTGACTCTTTTCATTGACAGGATAATAACACCACATGTTTCAAAGCATCGTTATGAAAACAGAATAAAATATTGCACGTTAAGTGCTTAGCACAATTCCAGGGTTAATCATCTTCATTAAGATAGAATATACTCCTGTGAGCTCCAACACAATGCCGCAGTCCACTGCTGTTTGGACATAAGAAGGTACGAAAGGGGCCGGGTGTGGTGGCTCAGGCCTGTAATCCCAGCACTTTGGGAGGCCAAGGCAGGCAGATCACCTGAGGTCGGGAGTTCGAGGCCAGCCTTACCGACATGGATAAATCCCATCTCTACTAAAAATACAAAATTAGCTGGGCATGGTGGCGCATGCCCTGAACCCAGGAGGCAGAGGTGGTGGTGAGCCGAGATCGTGCCATTGCACTCCAGCCTGGGCAACAACAGCGAAACTCTCTCTCAAAAAAAAAAAAAAAAAAGAAAAGAAAAGAAAAGAAGAAGGTATGAAGGTCAGAGTCACCACTGCACTGGAAATGCCTGGCTCTTCCACACCACATAATGTAATCCATTAGAGCCTCTCATTGTGCAGATCTACCAGCATAAATCGATGTATTGAACGCAACACATTTTATAAGGTAGCTATCAAAGAGTGTTAGGCAGGGGAGGGACAGGATCCGTTTTGTATTGCAGAAAGAATAAACTGACAGCATAAGGAATATGGGTTAGCTTGATCGACACAAGGCCAAAGTTCTACAACAGAGATTGTTGGGAGAATTATGAGAGTCTGATCAAGGGTAATAGCAGTGAAGATGGGAGGAGGGGACATTCTTAAAAATGTTAAAATGATAGAACTCTTTAGATGTGCTAGCTAAGTAGGTTTAGGATTTTGAAAGGTCAATTCTTCTGGTGCCCAACTTTCTATTTTCATTTCCCCAATCCCTCTTTATGCTTTCATTTGTTCATGTGTCCTATTTGTCTTATGTATCAGTCTTTTCTATCCATAATAGAGAAATGATAAAATAGATCTACGGTTGATCTTTCAATTTAATGTTGTGGGGATTCCCAGAAAGAGGATGAGACAGAGAATAGTAGGGGAGAAGAAACCAAACGGCAGAGGAAGAAGATCTGGACCCAGGAAATCTGTATGAGAGTATGGTCCTCTTGTGCTCAGCACATTCCAGCCAGTCACAGGACGCTTGGAAGAGGATGGTGCACAACCTTTCCAATTCTGGGATTCTAAAAGACCAGGAACACTCTGCCTTGAAATGTTACACCAATAATTTCCTTCAAGACTAGTGCTCAGAATGGAAAGGCTGGGCTGTAGATCATTCAGTTGGACTGAAACAATCACATAAATACGACTGAAGAAACACATTTCTGTTTCCATTTAGAACTGAGAAACATAATGCCAGGGCATTTGAAAGGCAGTGAGCAGTTTGCTATACAGTCTTGATATAAAGACTAAAATACTTAACATGGTCTACAAAGCCTACGAGGGCTGGCCTGTGCCTGGCAACCATCCACCCTCCATTGATACCTGACTGCCATATTGCCCATTTATTTTCTCAACCTCCACCACATGCTGCCATGCTGGGGCCTTCACTCTTGCTGGCCTTTTTGATTGAAGCACTTTCCCTACTCCTCATCCATCTGGAAAGTGTCCATTCATTTTGCACACCTCACCTTAGCTTAGGGAAAGGGGACCTGCTGTGTTATCTCTTTCAGGTCAGCCTCCTTAGACTTTTCTATAAGAGCAGTCTGTGTTTCCATAATATCTATTTTCATTCTCCCAAACATGTATTCTGATTGTCATTATACAATAGTTGATTGATACATACATATATATATATATATATATTTTTTTTTTTCAACTAAACCATAAACTACACAGGAGTAGGTCCCAGGTTTGCTTTTCCATGCCACTACTTCTTTGACTCACAAAAAGCTTGGAGTATTCTAAATGCTGACAATACTGAAAGAAATGATAAATGAGTACATTGGCATTGTAACATTTAATTTTGTGGAATCCAGATTCCATGAAACAATCAGGATGTCATGAAGGAAGCAGTGGTTCAGGAGACAAGTGAAAAACCCAAAAAGAAGAAAAAAGAAAAAGCCTCAGGAGGCTCCTTGGGAGAATGGAATGGAAGACTTATCTACTTTTTTCTCCAAATCCAAGAAAAAAACACATTTTTCTAAGGAGGATTTGGACAGTAGCTGTATTAGTCTGCTTTCATGCTGCTATAAAGAAATACCTGAGCTGGATAATTTATAAAGGAAAGAGGTTTAATTGACTCACAGGTCCATATGGCCAGGGAGGACTCAGGCAACTTACAGTCATGGTGGAAGGCAAAGGCAAAGCAAATTTGGATCTTCTCACAAGTCTGCAGGAGAGAGAGAGGAGTGAGCAGCAAAGGGGGAAGGGTCTCTTATAAAACCATCAGATCTCAGATCTCATGAGAACTCACTCACTATCACAGGAACAGCACGGGGTAAACCAGCTCATGATCCAATCACCTCCAAATAGGTCTTTCCCTAGACATGTGGGGAATATAGGGTTTACAATTTGAGTAGAGATTTGGGTGGGGACACAGCCAAATCATATCTGCAGTGATCTTGAAGAGGCCACTGGCAGCACAGTTCTTCCCAGGAAGAAGAAATCTTCACCCAAGGAAGAAATAGGTAGGGATCCCAAAGAGGCAAACAACAGGAGTATCTCCCAGGAAGAGCAAATTCTCTTCCGAAGAGGCGCCAGTCAGCAGTGGACCTGAAGAGGCTGCTGGCAGCCAAGAGCAACTCCAAGAAAAAGAAAATGTTCCATAAACCACTCCAGGAAGATTAGAATGTGAATGGACATTCCATGGGAGGTGGGGCAAACCATACCCCAAGGTGAGATTTACCACCCTGTGACCTACAGCCCACTAAAAACAAATTCACACACATGCAAATCCTTTTACCAAAGCAAGTATTATCTCCGTTTGTATAGATAAAGAAAGCGAGGCCCAAAGTGATTTTGCTAAACTTGCTGAGTCACTGATGCTGGATTTGACTCTTACCCATGGCATCTTACACACCGGGATCTTCTCTATGTGCCTATTTTTCCTTCCACAAAGGTGGCCTTTATATGCACAGAATTTACATAGGCAGTCCTCATCTTGGGGATATTTCCATTCTCAAATCCTTGACGATTTATTTATGAAAGCCACATGGCCCAGCAAATGCTGAAACACAGATTGAATGCCACAAGGAAGGAAATAAAAAACTTAATTGTGAATCCCCATATTTGTTTCTGGTTAATGTTCCCTGAGAAAAACAGAGAACTAAAAAGAACCTACACACCCACCGACCTACCCACCCTCTGACCCACACACAACTTACATTTCTCAACCCCTTTTAAGTGGCTCAGAAGTGCCAGAATCAGTGAGACCCATCATAACCTCCACAAAGAAGTGCTCCACAGGCTGATAACCAGAAGCAGTAAATAACAGACGGGGAAAAAAGATCAGAGTTTTATACAGAAAAATATAAGGTTATAGCACGTAGAGAAAAATATGTGAGTGGTAGCTTCAGTTTCCTATTTAATTTGTGTGTTTATAATCTGAAAACTCATATTCTGTTTAATACGTATGTATTCAGCTCAAACTTTGGAGTGCTTGCCACACACTAACCTTCTGCTACAACCCTGGGAAAATGGAGATGAATAAGGAAAGGTCTTTGGCCACAGGTTATTAAATTGGTGGGAGGAAAACTCATACCAGAAACTTCTAATTAAGATGATCATGACCGTGACACTGGTACATTTTCAATATACCAGAACTGTGGAGAAGGAAACAATGTGGTTCTCCATTTGGAGTTTCTTTTGTTATTATGATTATTTTTTCTCTTCTTACACAAAAAAGTTAGTATCAGAGTCAAGAATGCAACATGTATTACATTGCTGTTTTTACATGACATCTGATTCAATTGGCTTGGTTTGAAACAGGACAGGTTATGACCTGATTTTAAGGTCAAAAACCAATTTAAGTTTGAGAGAAATCTGTAAAATGTCAGTGTGCTCAGTTACTTTCTTGGCTTGTCAGGTTTAGGACCTCAAAAGTGTCAGCTTAGGATATTCTACCATTTCTACAAGAGTGGCATGCACTTTATCCTACCATGCACAGAGAGCAAAATAATAATGGAGATGTGAATTTTGAACAGACGGAGCTTCCATGAGGGAATCAGCATGTACCGACGGAGACTCTGCAGGTGAAAACTGCCTTATGCCATTAAGGGTTAAGTGTGGTGTCCCCAGCAATAGAGAAACGAAGATCTGTTTCTGAGGGCATTGAGGAGCCGGCCTGGTCATTCGTGGAATGAGAAAATGAAGGTTCCATTTAGCTGGTGCATCAGTCTTCAGGAGCAGAGGTCAGTGGTGATGGAGTAGAATAAAACAAGGCAGAGGCACCCGCGGATTTCTCCTGCTATTTCACGAGTGACCTCATTTGACTCTCCTCCCTGCTGCTGACACGTCCTTTCCTTTAAAATTACATGTAGTGCTAAACAAATGGGTCTCTTCAGAGTCACTTAGCAGAACTAATCAGCACACCAGCCTGGTTTCAAAATGAAGGGTCCATTCCACGGTGGAGGAAGGCCATTACTTTTGTATCCTCCATCCGAATTGGGGTCACCTGCAACTCTGAAGGAATTGGTGCTCTGTTCCTTTATTCAAGGCAAGAAATTGTACCCCTGTCACACTGAAATCTCATTCTTCCATCTTAAAACTCATTTCCTTTTATAAAGGAGTGTTTTTCTTCCAGACTTTTCACATACTGGCTAGAAATTGTGTTCAGCCCCCACGCACATAAAAAGTTAACATTGTCTGTAATGCTGCCAGAGGCGGTGTTTCTTGTGGAAGGGGAATTGCCTGGTAGTGAGAAGAGGCTAGTGAAAAAAACACATGCTTTAATAAACCTTCATTTGATAATTGAATCTCATTCTAATCAATGGCAGAATGCAGCCACTCTGCTCTCCACCCACAGTGATTAGGGCTCATAAGCGAGTCTTGCTGGTTCAAGCATGGGCTCAAAAAGGAAATGCAGTGTAGCAAACAGTTTCACTTTGGTTTGCAAACATTACATTCTGCCCTATTGAAAGCAGATCTCCAAAATGAATCTTTCTTATATAATACCTATGTGAGAGGTTCTTCCGTTTTTTAAAATATTTGTATAACTTCCAATAACTACAGTGTACCAGGGAGAAGACAGGTTAATAGTAAACCTAATTAAATCCCCTCACAATGACATAGTGAGTCCCAGTTTACAATGTGGCTTTAAGCTGAGATCTCATTTTACATCTGCAAATATCTGGAGTGCCTGAAGGAGTTATCTTCATTATATTATTTTTTCCTTTCTTCCTTTTTTTATTTTTAAAAAATAGATAGATAGATAGATAGATAGATAGATAGATAGATAAAGAGATAAATAGATATCTTTTTAAATAGAGGCAGGATCTCCCCACATTGCCCAGGATCAAAGGATCCTCCTACCTCAATCTCCCAAGTAGCTGGGACTAGAGGCACATGCTGCCGCTACCAACTATGTTACCCTCATTTTACAGACAGTGAAACTGAGGCTCAGAAGGGCTAAGTGGACTCATTGCCAAAAACAAACAGCATAGTAACTCATGAGTAAGAACAGCGACATCATTTCCTTACTTTCAGCCCTTTGAGCTAAACAACAGTAATCTATGGTTTTGAAGCAAATTCCCTGGCCTAAGTGCATAGAGCATTGTGTCTGTCTCAATCCTAGAGATATTAAGAAAGAACGGCTCTGGAGGACACTTTGAAGTGCCTATGAGTATCAGGAAGACTATATATTATAATAACAGCCTTAAGTCCCATCTCCAATCCCTTTGGAAAGAAAGAGAAAGGGCAGTAGCGATGCCACATTCCTCTCTTACTGTGGCCTACTAATATTGCAGAAAATGTCTTTATTCATAAAGGGATCTTAGCATTAATGTTTTCATACTTGTAAAAAGTGCCTAAATACATTTTTTTTTCCAAGTGACTTACCATAGTGCAGTTTGCAACTACATTTTGGGCATGAATGCAGATTAATGTCTTAACACTGTTCATCTGTGAGAATCACTTGCTGGTCTCTGATTAGATTTTTATGAGGCAGTTTCCAAATCAGATCCTGTCTATGCTCCTGACTGAGTACCTAGTTGTGCAAGAATAAGTATGATTTCACACAAGCATGGACAGATAGGCTAATTGCTCAGACACCTTTAAATAGTGACAAAAAGAAAGTAAGTGTAGCCCTGTAAAAGACAGGGCAACACTTTGACCTTCAAAAACAAAAACTAATTAAAAAGAAGACATCATTCACAAGACAAGTTCAACATCTTTAGTGTAACATATACAGAGAAAAGACATGCTCATTAAAGATTATCTGTCTCCTCTGCACTCATATTAGCAAGAATTTGTAAATAATTTTTACAAAGTAATCTCAGAATCATGTTGCTAAAATCTAGCAGCCAATATATCTCTCCCGAAATTTTGTTCCCGTAGAGACTGTCACAGTTCTGGACAGGCAAGCAAGTTCTCTACAAATATTTACTTGCGTTTGCTGAAAGGTTAATTCGAAGTGAGGATTTGTGGCATAGAGGGGCCATAGAAACAGATCAATGAAGTCAAGTCTATCCATCCCCTAGCATATTGTAGGCATCTGATTCAAGCAACAGGTATGGTTTTAAGTTCTGATGTCAAGTAATGCATGGGCCACATGAGAGTTTATTGGATAAACAACTCTTTACAAATGTTGCTATACCTTGGAAATGAATAATGAAACATATGAGAATATGCTCAGTAGAATCTTCTTTTTCTCATAGCTTAATATGATTGACAGTAATATGTAGTTATTTATCTGGAAGTAAAAACAAAGATTAATCTGAGCTGCACTAAAATTCTCTGAAGATTTCTCCCGACACACCTTGATGCAGAAAGGAGAAAATCTATTTTTTTTCTGTTTTAAATCTTTTTATTTTTTAACATCTCCAATGAAGCTGTCAGAAAGGTTTTCAAAGACAAGAGATAAGTTTTATTGGGGAAAAAATAACAATGGAAATTTTACTCAGGGTTTTGTTTTATAATGTCTATAGTAAATGATTTTATGACTCTACAAGTTGCTACTGCTTAAGTGAAAGTAGAGAGAGTTTGGTTTTTGTTTATGTGTTTATAATATAACATAAGTATATATTCATGATAGAAATTTGGGAAATATAGAAGAGGAAAAAGATAAAACAAGTTACCAATAATTTTGCTAATCCTTGAAAACTGCTGGTAATATTTGGTAATTACTTTCCAATCATAGTTATGTATAAGCTTCGCATACCTACGTTTATTATTACGTGTACTGATTTTTAAATTATTTTATTTTTATGTAATTATTTTTATTTTATGTAAACATAAGTGGTTAATGAAATAATAATATTCTTCATGAGAGATTAACCAAAAATTATTATTGTTGAATATTTCAAGTGATTTTTCAATGCTTTGTTGATATAGTAATACTATAATGACTATCCTTTTATAAAAAGACTCTTCTACATTTATTTTGAACGAAGTTTTAAATGATAATTACTGAGCCTAATGGTCTTTGTTTTTCAAGATCCAAATGCATATATCGAATGAATTTTCACATTGAATATGACTTTTCCCTGGTCGAATCCCTTCTTCCCCACTTTTCTTTCCCCTCCTTCTCTTTCTCTTTCCTCCTTACCCCTTCCTTCCTTCCTTTCTTCCATTCATCAGAATAAACCAAGGTCACAGCTTCCCCATGAAATAACAATGCTATCCCTTTTAGAGAGGCATAAAGCCATTCTGCAATATAATGCTATTGTTAACTGTTAGAATGTAATGGAAACATTGTTATGGTATCATGAAGCATATTTTTCAGACTATTTTAATGTGGAATTGCCTTCAAACTCCATAGTAAGAGTAGTTCTGGTTTCAGCATAAATTTTACTATGAATTCTACTGGTGTTATGGTTCTATTTTTTCTCATGACTCTTCAGTTTTTGAGCAGCATAACTTACTGAAATATAATAATTAAATTAAATTTATTTTATGCTCTGTATCAGGTATTGTGTTTAGGATTTCACATACATTATCTCATTTAATCTACACAACAGCGGCATGATAAAGAACTAGTATCTTTTTTTTCTCATTTTACAGATGAGAAAATAAAGACTAAGAAAGTTTAAATAATTGCCCCAGATCTCACAGTTAATAGGTAGTTGTATTAATCTGCTGGGACTGCCATAATAACATACCACAGATTGGGTGGCTTTAACAACATAATTTTATTGTTCACAGTTCTGAAGGTTGTAAATCTCAGATCAAGGTTCGGGAGAATCAGTTTCTGGTGGGGCCTCTCTTCCTGGCCTGCAGACGGTCACCTTCTTGCTTTATTCTCACATGATCTTTTCTCCATGCCTGTCCTCAGAAAGGAATTGAGAGACAGAGAGGATTCTGATATCTCTTCCTATGAGGACACTAATCCCATTAGATCAGGGCTCCACCTTTATGACCTCATTCAACCTTAATTAGCTTCTAAAAGCTAAATGTCTAAATGCAGTCACATCAGGGGTTAGAATTCTGGGGTTAGAAAATTCAGTCCATAGCAGTACTGAAGCAATGATTGAAACTCAGCTGTTCTGGTCACCTATTACCATATGTCAAAATATCTCCAAAATTAGTGGCATGAAGCAAATCTCATTTTAGTATACTTACAATCTTATGGGTTAGGAATTGAGGCAGGGTGCAATAGGAACAGCTTATCCGTTTTACACCATGACGAAGGCCTCAGCTGGCATGGTTTAAAGAGTTGAAAATGTCTGAGACAACTCCATTGGGAGCATATGCTTAGAGCCCTTGTTCTGGCTCTCTCTCCAATTCTTCCCCACATCATGTCTGCTAGGTCTCAAATTCCCAATATTTCTTCTTCACTTAGCTGTCTGATATCTTGGCTAGGATGACTCTCACAGCCAGGGCTTCCAGGTGTACATCTATCTATCTATCTGTCCGTCTATCTATCTATCTATCTATCTCTTCTCTCTTTATCTCTCCATGTAGCCAATCTACATGACTAGTCTGGGCTTCCTCACAGCATAGAAATGTCAGAGTAGTCACATTGCTTATATGATGTCTGATTTCTCCCAGAGTAAGAATTCCAAAAGAGTTAAGATGTAGCCTCACTTCTACCATATTCTGTTGGTCAAAAGGGAGTCATAGGTCTAGCCCAGAAATAAAATAAGGTTAAGGGATATAGACTCCACCTCTTAATGGGAGACATATCAAACAATGTATGTACATTTGAATCTATTACACAGGGTTAGACGGACTCAAGAACCCATACATTTTGATACCATTCTTGGGTAAGGATATGGTTGATTGTTTCTCAGTAGAGGGAATTTTGTAAAATTGTCAACACTTCTTATATCTTCACCATGCACAAAGTGGAGTTCTGTGGAAAAGCAGGGGATGCTTGGGTCGACCTTCTATTGCCCCAACTCCATTTTCCCTGATAGGTCTCTGTATTAGTCTGTTCTCATGTTTCTAATAAAGACATACCCAAAACTGGGTAATGTATAAAGGGAAGAGGTTTAATGGACTCACAGTTCCATGTGGCTGGAGAGGCCTCACAATCATGGCAGAAGACAAAAGAACAGCAAGGAATTTCTCATATGGCAGCAGGCAAAGAGAGGGCTTGTGTAGGGGAAGTCCCATTTATAAAACCATCAGGTATCATGAGACTTTTTCATTACCATGAGAACAGTATGGAGGAAACTGACCCCATAATTCAATTATCTCCACCTGGTCCCACCCTTGACATGTGGGGACTATTACAATTCAAGGTGAGATTTGGGTGGGATCACAGCCAAACCATATCAGTCTCCCAAGACAGAAAAGTATTGAGCTCTCTATGCTTTCAGGCTCTCGCTCTCGCTCTCTCACTCTCTCTCTCTCTCTCTCTCTCTCTCTCTCTCTCTCTCTCTCCCCTTCTCACCAGGTGATAAGATGATGAGAAATTCTTTGGTGGGAGCTCATGAGTGATTTTTGTCTTTTGGATTCCTGAGGTCCTGCCTACCCAGACGTCAAAGATAAATGTTATCTCCTCTACTATTCTGTCAGCCTGTGAGAATGGTCACAGCAGTGGATAGAAGCCAGTATTTGTCCTGCTGCTTTGACTATGCTTGCAGAGGCAAGTTTCATTCAGGGAGAAACTTCCATGTGTGTTTAGGTATAAACCAGAATATATATTGTTATATATCTGACCCTAGTGTCTCCTTTTCAAATAATTTAGAAACTGGAACCCAGTGAGGTTAGCAATTAGCCCCCTCAGATTTCCATACATGGTGAATTGGCGTGGTATTGACGTCCACCTCTATTATGGGGGTGAGAATTTATTGGGTTTATATTTATTTTTCTCTAATTTTCAAGTGAATATATATATATATGTCAACATATATATGGAAATTATATATATAATTATATATAAACACATAAATATAATTATATATATAAACATATAATCTTTTGTAAATTCTTATACTTGTCTTTTCATATTACTCTTTGGTTTCCTTATTCCTTTCCAATTATATTATTAAGAATTTACAGAACAGTGTTAAAAATTGCATTGGCACAAATTTGTTTTTTGTTCTTCTTGATTTGAATGTCACTAATGATGTACTATTAAGTAGGAGTTAACATATTCATCCTTTGACACACACGGACACAGACAAAAAACCTTTATGAGAAATATATTACATCAATTGAGATGGACATTGGCCTTTTTATTCTTGTTACACCTAGAGCTACACAGATGTTTAGGGACAGATTTTAAAACACTAAAGTATTTTGGAGGGGCAGCAAACTTCATCTGGTAAGAGAGAAATCATATAGATGTACCTGTACCTACAAATGAGAAGGATTGTCTAGGATTTTCTTCATATTAATATATTTGTATTCATAACTGAGATTTTACTATAGTTTCTTTGTGTGTGTTTTCTATCTTTTATCTATCCTATCTTTTCAGTATCAACATTTTGCTAACTTCCTAAAATGTAGCAGATAGCTTTCCACTGAGAAGAACTGCTCAGATTAAATTATTTAAACATATTAAATTGACACGTTAATTTGGTGACTATTTTACTAATCACAAATTGCTTTAGTCAGAAGGTCAATTAGTAGAAAAATAGAATCTGTAAAATATTTAAATACACAGCTAATGGGCTGGGGAATATGTGTTTAGAAACAGACACAGGCAATATGTCTTTCATATAAACATTTCACCAAGGAAGGAGAGTTTATATGTTTGTTGTTGCTTTTGTAAGAGGGAAAAAAAATATATTATTCAGTTCTGAAGGCACTTTGGCCATACAATCCTCATTTGAAGAGATAGCAAGTTAGACCAAACACTGGCTGAATGCAAACACCCTATTTACCATGTATATCTGAAATTAACAGCATTTAGACTTTACATGACAATAGTATAACTGGCTTGCACTTAATGAACCTAAGAAGAGAAGGAAAATTAAATCCAATCCCCAATTTACTAACTCAGCAAACATTTCGAGTGTGACAGTTACGAGTTCAAGCTAGGCACTGGGTCATAGGCATGAGAAAAGAGAGGACAATTATTATGTCTCTAAGAAAGTGATATAAATGGTTATTGAGCTCTCTCAAACAGAATGGTTTATAATGCTTGCTCACCAAGATAATTAGAATGATGACTTGACTCATAATATTTATACAATGTTTTAAGAGAGAATTATTTTTTCTCAGCTGTGTCAGTTCCTTTCTTCTGTCTTTCTCTTTTGTCAATTAAGTGGGGCAGAAAGAGAGAGAGAGTGAGAACAAGTAAAAGTCAAATGTAAGATATTATACTGCAGTATTCTTGGATACCTGCAGGCTTATCTGGTATTCCACACTAACAACTTACTATGTTAATAAATAAGGGAACTAATAGAGAACCTTGATATCAAACAAGCATACTGTGAAATCTTTTCTATCAACATGGTCTATACTTTGAAATCTGACACATGCTTCGAAAACCAATTCAAATATCTTCTTAGCCCCCCAAATGAAAGAAGGAGATTCCATCTAGCATTTACTGGTCACCTGCTACAGGCCAAGTGCTTTGTTAGGTTCCTTAAAAATAACATCTCTTTAAGTCTCAGACCATACATTTTTCTAATATAGTTTTGACTTTTATTTTAGATTCAGAGGGTACATAGAAGGTTTGTTACATGGGTATGTGGCATATATTGCATGATGCTGAGCTTTGGGGTACAATTGAATCCCTCACCCATTAATTGAGTGTAATATCCAATAGTTAGTAGTTCAAGCTCTGCCCCTCATCCTCTCTTCACCCTCTAGGAGTCCCAGTGTCTATTGTTGTCATATTTATGTTCAAGTGCACTCAATGTTTAGCTCCCACTTGTAAGTGAGAACATGCAGTATTTGGTTTCTTGTTCCTGTGTTAATTCACTCAGCTTAATCATCTCCAGGTGCATCCATATCACTGCAAAGGGCATGATTCCATTCCTTTTTTATAATTGTAAAAGTATTCCTTGGTGTAAATGTACCACATTTTCTTTATTGAATCTACTGTTGATAGGCACCTAGGTTGCCTCCATGTCTTTGCTATTGTGAATAGTGCTGCGATTAACATATGAGTGCGTGTATCTTATTGGTAGAAACATTTATTCATATTTTCTTTTGTATGTATACTCAGTGATAGGATTGATAGGATTGCTGGGTCGAATGCTAGTTCTCTTTTTAGTTCCTTGAGAAATCTCCAAACTGCTTTCCACAGTGGCTAAACTGATTTATGCTCCCACCAACAATGTATAAGTTTCAGAACAATTCTTTATACCAAACATTGTCTCCGATTTTTAAATTCAGGAAACAGGCAAAGGCAATCATACTGCTCAAAGTTATCAACTAGTAAATACATATCCTGGCTTGAAACCTATGTCTTATTGACTTAAAACATCATATTTATTCTACAGTTCAAGGCAGCATTTCCTCTAAACACTCATACAATGCTGTCGACCTGCCTTAAAGTGCTTAGCACATTTTCCCTCATTTTATATGAACACAGAACTTGGCACTTTGCAAATGTTATCAAATTTGACTTAGATTTATTTGCATCTGTTTGCTGGAGAACAGGTAAATGTTATATTCAGCAAATTATAAGAGACAAGGACATCTTTGAATTCATGACTGTCAGACAGAATAGGTAATAAGAATATTAGAAGAATAAATAAAATGTGACCATTGTAAGAATATTATATATCTAACAGAATACAATTTTATTTTGCAATATTTCTTGATGCTTGGCTATTGTTAGAGAACTTATTTTCCTTTAAAGGCTTAATTTGAAAAATTCCCTAAAAGAGGAATTTACTGCAGGCAAAACAGACAAGGTACCTGTGTATGAATGAATGTTCCACTCACCTTATAGTTACTGATGGACTATCTTATTAATCATTGATAGAGATATTTGCTGGAGCACATGGCTCATATTGGACAACAGAACCAATTTAGACTTCTCTTAGAGGAAAAAGTTCCCCATTAGGCACTAAAAGCAACCCCAGGATATGAAAATTACAAGCTAATAAGATCATTTATTTTTATGTTTATATTTTCAGCTGAAAGAAATACATTAACCACTAAGGGAGACCTCAAGAGAGAGTGTATAAGAGCAAAAATGGACAGTTTATTCTCTCATCTTGCAAACCAGACCATAAGCCAAACAACTAAGGTGCCATCCAAACATCACTACAACACCACCCTGGTAAATGCTGGGGAGGAGAGTTGCAGAGTAAACATCTATTTCAAGGGAGTGATGCTGGGTCTGAAATTCATTGAAAAAATCATGGAATAGCCTCCAGATGCTTCCATATTTGTTCAGTAATTAACAAATGTTCATTAAGAGCAAATGTGGTAGATACCAAGGAGATAAAGATAGAAAGCTAAATCAATCTCCAATCCAGAATTGGAAACGAACAAAATGTTAAAATTCATTGCACTATTGTTCAAAATAACCAAGATATGTAAACAGCTTAAGTGTCCATTCATGGATAAATTAATAAAGAAATTATGATTTATATCATTAATATATGTTTCATCATATTATAATTAGTATGACAGTTATGATATATATCAAATATAATGAAATATTATTTAGCTTAATAAAGAGGGAAATTCTTACAATTGTGGCAACGTGGATAAACTTGGATGACATTATGCTAAGTGAAATAAACCAGACACAGAAAGATAAATATTGCATGATATCACTTATAGGTGGAAAGTAAAATAGTTGAAACATAAAGAAACAGAATATAGAATAGTGGTTGCCAGGGGCTGGGGAGTAGGAAAAAGTTGAGAGATATTGATCAAAGTTAACACACATTTAGTTGTAAGATAGTTCCAGAGATCTGTATATAGCACTGTAACTATAGTTAATAATAGTTTATTTTATACTTGAAATTTGCTATGAATAATGACCTCTATATCCATCCATGCTTCTGCAAAGGACAGGATATTGTTCCTTTTTATGGTTGCATAGTATTCCATAGGTGTATATGTACCACATTTTCTTTACCCAGTTTACCACTGATGGACATTTAGGTTGATTCCTTGAATTTCTTCCTGTGAATAGTGCTGCAATGAGCATATACATGTATGTGTCTTTATTACAGAGTGATTTATATTCCTTTTGGTATATACTCAGTAATTGAATTGTTGGGTTGGGGTTGAATGGCATTTCTGTTTTTAGATCTTTGGAGGATTGCCACAATGTCTTCCACAATTGTTGAACATATCCACCAACAGTGTTTTCTCTGCGACCTTGCCAGAATCTGTTATTTTTTTACTTTTTAATAATAGTCATTATCACTGGTGTGAAATGGTATCTCATTGTGGTTTTGGTTTGCATTTCTGTAATAATTAGTTGTGTTGAGCTTTTTTTCATGTGATTGTTGGCTGCACATATGTCTTCTTTTGAAAAGTGTCTGTTCATGTTTTTAGCCCACTTTTTAATGGTGTTATTTGTTTTTTGCTTGTAAATTTGTTTTAATTTCCTTATAGATGCTGGATGTTACACTTCTGTCAGATGCATAGTTTACAGAAATTTTCTCTCATTCTGTAGGTTGTCTGTTAATTCTGTTAATAGTTTCCTTTGCTGTGCAGAAACCCTTTAATTTAATTATATCCCATTTGTCAATTTTTGCTTTTGTTGTGATTGCTTTCATTATCTTCATCACGAAAACTTTGCCCGTTCCTATATCCAGAATGGTATTGCCTAAGTTGTCTTCAGGGTTTTTATAGTTTTGGATTTTATATTCAAACTTTTAATCCATCTTGAGTTAATGTTTGCATATAGTGTAAAGGGAAGGAAGGGATCCTTTGCAGGAACATAGGTGAAGCTGGAGGCCATTTTGCTTAGCAAACTAACACAGGAACAACAACAACAACAACAAAATCAAATACCACATGTCCTCACTTATGAATGGTAGCTAAATGATGAGAACAAGTGGACACACAGAGCGGAACAACACACACTGGGGCCTTCTGGACGGTGGAGGGTGGCAAGAGAGAGAATCAGGAAAAATAACTAATGAGTACTAGGCTTAATACTTGGGTAACAAAATTATCTGTACAACAACCCCCTGTGACACAAGTTTACTTATGTAAATAAACCTCACATGTACCCAGGAACTTAAAAGTTAAACTTAAAAAAATGTAACCTATGTATACATGGCACATGTATACATAGGTTACATTTTTTTAAGTGTAACTAACCGGCACATTGTGCACATGTACCCTAAAACTTAAAGTATAATTAAAAAAAAAGTTTAAAAAAATGTAACCTATGTATACAATGGAATATTATTCAGTAATAAAATGAAGTATCAATTTTTTAAAAATTGCTAAGGGAATAGATCTTAAGTGTTCTCTACAAACACACACACATGTGCAAATGGTAAGTATGCCAGGTAATGGATAGGTTAATTAATCTGATTGTTGGGATCATTATACAATGTATACTTATATCAAAGCACAAACCATGTATAAAACACTTAAAAATGTACGATTTTCATTTGCTGATTATGCCTTAATTAAAGAGTGAGACCAAAATATACGGCCTAGTTTTATAACTTGGTAGTTGTCTGATACTGAAAAACTGCCTCACTTACTCATCTTTAAAATGGGATTAATAATACTTCTATCAGAGAGTCTTTTTTTAAGTATCAGTACTAATAAAATTTTAGAGCATGTATCAAAGTGCTTGACACATAGTTAGAACTTGATAAATGATATTGTGGTCATTATTTGCATTGTTTTTGATATAGCAGAATGGATTTATATGAGGTTATCCTTGAGACACAGTTATTACAAAAGTGTAGGAAAATAACTTCTAAAGAATATGATGATAACATGAAAATAAGAAAGAATGGGGCAAATTTAAAAGAATTTGCAAAGCTAAAATTGTCTAATACAGGCAGGACTGGAAGGAAGGACCTGGGAAGAAACCCCCGACTTCTCAGATCTCTATTTAGTATAAGTCTTTGGATATGTTTGCCAGTCTCCATAACATTATTTAGGGAAGATCTCTGGTTGACAAGAATATGGTTGGAAAATCGGATCCTAGGTGTAATGAGGGGTGTTAAGGGCTTCTCAACATTGATTGTCCCTGTCAACACACCACCCCTAGTTCTACCAACCTCACAGACACCTTCATAAATAGTCTTTCATTAAACTTTACTCAATTCCTCTGTTTGAATATACCATCATTTTCCATAAAAACATGTATGGATGGGCCAGGCACAGTGGCTCATGCCTATAATCCCAGCACTTTGGGAGGCCAAGGCGGGTGGATCACTTCAGGTCAGAAGTTCAAGACCAGCCTGGGTAACATGGTGAAACTTTGTCTCGACTGGAAATAGAAAAAAAAAAAAAAAAAACAGGTGTGGTGGCACACACCTGTAATCCTAGTTACTTGGGAGGCTGAGGTAGGAGAATCGCTTGAACCCAGGAGGTGGAGTTTCCAGTGAGCAGAGATCACAACACTGCACTCCAGCCTGGGCAACAGAGGGAGACTCTGTCACAAAAAAAAAAAAAAAAAAAAGTATGAATGAAGTCATGAACAGTGCCCCGAATTAATCAACAAAAGAAAACTTTATTACCTTTCTGGTTCCATTTTTTTTTTCTTTGATTTTTCAATTATTTGTTTGCACCCTCCCCAAAAGATGCTAGGCATAGCAGGTGCATATAATGCAAATCCATTTGAAGCAACTGCATTAAGTAGAAGACATGACTACTTAAGTAGACAGAGGTTACATGGGTAACCTTCCTGGGGATTACACGTATAACTGGTCACCAAAATTTCTTTGCATTTCTATCATTGGAACCTAATATATTTGCAACCACATTTGTGGTGACTGATCAGGGCTGCCTCCCCAGGGACCTGAAAGCACCCAGTGTTATTCAAGGATTCCAGGAGTGGTATTTGTCCTGTGCGGATGTCCCACTAAAATTCACTCAAATTCATGGAAACATGAAGAGCTTCTGGCTGCCAGAAATCAGGTTAGTTATCTAACATACCAAAACCTAAGTTTATTCCTTGTTATTTTCAAAGATACCACGACTGGAGACTTTTACTGCAATATTATTATATACAGTAGAAGACTAGTGGGCCTGAGCCAAAGAAAGGGTACAGGAGTGGCATTGGACATGCCAAGAGACTGGCCCCATGGAGGACTGGCTTGAGGAAACTGATCAGATGGACAAGCAGCCAGGGCAGAGCAGAATTCTCCTGTCTCCTTGTGAACAGAATCATCACACTGTTAATACCAAGCCTGGACCACAAGTTTCCACTCAGCTTCTAAGTGCAATCGCTGTGTACCACGGACAACCACAGCACTAAAGGGGATCTCTGACAAATCTAAGAGATTGGTCAAACAAAGATCCCGCACCTATAATGGAAACTGAATGACACATGGTATAAATTACCTGGTGGAAAGAGTAGAGTATACTTGAGTCGTTACCTATAACAGAGGTGTCTGTTACCTATAATCTATGTTATAGATAACGACTCAAGTATCTATTGGTGATAGGTGCTTGGTATAGACAGATCTGGTTGTAAGTTCCGGTTCTTCCTCTGTTATAGAGCAGCTGCGTGATTTTGAGAAATATATGTATCTGTCTGTTTATACGCACAGACATATATATACATATACACATACACAAATACATACACGAGTATGTATAAAGAGTAATTAGAATTGCATTAATAAATTATTCAATACTCAATAATTGGCAATTATTATTTTAGCAGCATTCTTTAATATTGCTAAATGAGAGCAAAACATATACTTTTTAAAATTGGTAACATTTTCCCATTTCACTTGTAATGTTGTACAAGCCTAAACTTACATTCCATCAATCTTAAATGTCATTTTTCTCAAACGATACTGCCATGAGAGTGAATTTCTCAAATGCATCTCTTCTAGGAGATGCCTATTGTTTTCTACAGATACAACATTACATTCCTTTAATTTTCTAAGATTTTGGCCAACAGGAAAACATCTAAAAAGTTCACTACTTAATATATAGGTTTAGAGATCTGCTTATCTAGGAAACATTTTAATTATTATCTTGTTTTGTTTCTACCTAGTTCTGGAGAAGACAAGGACTGGATATTTACAATATAAAAATATACCTTCAGTCCATTCAAATCACATTAGTATAGAACTGAACCAATGGTGCTTGATGATAACACTTTTTGCCATCACTCAGAATATCTGAAGAGGATGGAACAATTTCAATTCATGCTTTAAGAGGCTGAAACGTTTCCCCTTTTTTTTTACTGAGGGCTTAGGATATCCCACTCAGACAAGGCCAAATAAAACCACAATTGAATGGATAAACAATCTGTAAAATATTTTCTGTACCTATATAGGAGAAGTTAATAGAAGGGGTAAAAGTGAAAGAGAAAGTACAGAGTTTCATAGCAGTTAAAATAAATGAAGATAAAGACATGCAATAAATCACAGTATTTACACTTCTATCGTTGATAATAGGTTTATATATAAAAGTAAATACATTGAAATTCTCTCCAGATTGACACATACTCTACTGAAACATACCTCCAGAACCTGTAATCAGTCTTGAGTTTTACTTCGGTAATACTATAATAAATATATCTTAGTTGTATCTTAATAATACAAGTTTGGCTAAACTGGAATCCTCTTTGTGTTTTTTGTATTACAATGATTATATTGGTGTCAATCAGAACTAGGATCCAAGTTGGTCTTGTATAAAGAAAATTACACCATATTTCCCGTTAGCATGAAGAAATGAGATAGGGCCTACATTGGGCTTTTTTTTTTTTTTTTTTTTTTTTGAGACAGAGTACCCAGGCTAGGCTGGAGTGCAGTGAGGCAATCTCGACTCACTGCAACCTCCACCTCCCGGGCTCAAGCGATTCTTATGCCTCCACCTTCTGAGTAGCTGGAATTACAGGCATGTGCCACCATGCCCTGTAACTTTTTGTACTTTTAGTAGAGATGTAATTTTGCCATGTTGGCCAGACTGGCCTCGAACTCCTGACCTCAGGTGATCCGCCTGCCTCGGCCTCCCAAAGTGCTGGGATTGCAGGCATGACCCACCATGCCTAGCCTGGGCGTTCTTTTTTAAATAAATATTTTAACTTTGATTTTAGGTTCAGGGGTACATGTGCAGGTTTGTTATATAGGTAAACTCATGACTCGACAGTTTGTTGTACAGATTAATTTCTCACCTGGGTACCCAACAGATTTTTTTATTTTTCCTGAACCTTTCCCTCCATCCACCCACTTCCCTCAAGTGGGCCCTAGGGCCTGTTGTTCCCCTCTTTCTGTCCATGTGTCCTCATTATTTCACTTCCACTTATAAGTGAGAACATGTGATATTTGTTTTTCTCTTCCTGCATTAGTTTGCTAAGGATAATGGCCTCCAGTTCCATCCATGTTCCTGCAAAGGACATGATTTTCTTCTTTTTTATGGCTGCATAGTATTCCTTCATTTGAAAACTCTTAATGACACAGCTTTTGACATATATGCCAATGGTTTACTTTGTTGGGGGTCTTTCCATTCCAGTGAGAACAAAAGAAAGCCATTCATGTACGGGTCCACAAATGTGGGACATGTTAGCAGCTGGCAGTATAAACAGTCCACTTTCACATATCATAAAGTTACAGAGGAACTCTGTGCCATTGGGGGACCAAACTGAGTCTATGCTGTGATGGCTGGGCCCGGTGGCTCATGCCTGTAATCTCAGCACTTTGGGAGGCCGAGGCGGGCAGATCACGAGGTCAGGAGATCGAGACCATCCTGGCTAACGCGGTGAAACCCCGTCTCTACTAAAAACACAAAAAAAATTAGCCGGGCGTGGTGGCGGGCGCCTGTAGTCCCAGCTACTCGGGAGGCTGAGGCAGGAGAATGGCGTGAACCCAGTAGGCGGAGCTTGCAGTGAGCCGAGATCTCTCCACTGCACTCCAGCTGGGCGACAGAGCAAGACTCCGTCTCAAACAAAAACAAAAACAAAAACAAAAACTTTACTTCCTAAGATATGAGTGATGGGTGTGATTTGAATAAAGTGACACTATGTTTTCTTTCTCAAGAAATTGAAAATAAAATAGCTTTTCTATCAGTATCTCTGGATATAAAGGGATATTTTCTTAGTTTTATATCATAATGGTAAATAGGATCCATCAAGTACAACTTTTACTGTTAATAATGGAGAAAGAGGAAAGAATATCATGTTTGCAGTTCTACCCATACTGCTAATTATTGTAATAAATGCCATACAGAATTTATCTCAAGTATTCTTTGTAGTAAGTCTGTGGGGTAGGAATTATCATCTTTAATTTATAAACATGGAATTTAGTTAACTTCCCCAAATTTTCCCCAAATTTTCAGTTTCGCTAATGTCTTTGCTATCATTTAAATTGCATTCCCATAAGCAAACCAGAGCCAAAATTAACTTTCCCTATATGACCCTTTCCCAGAATGACAGAGAGAGAGAGAAAACAGAAAAATCATCTTTGTGGTTTTATGTGGGATCAGTTAGATTTGGAATAATAGTGGCTGGAATGTGGCAACATATATAATTTAAGTTCAATATATGTGAGTTGCTATTAGTAGCAATATTGTGGAACTTCATCACAGCAGAATTTCATTTACTTGTTTGAGTCTCATAACTGACTCACACAGAATCCCTGAAAACAGAATCTTTAAATAAATAAAACAAAGAATATTAAAGAGGAGATAATTAAAGAATATTCATACTCACTAAAGTAAAAATATGGAGGGGTATGTACCCAGGCTAATGTCCTGTCTTCTCTGCATAATAGGTGCTTTATGGATGGTTTTGTCATTATATAACAGTGAAAAATCATATATGGCACACCAGAAGGAAAAAAGACAATGTTTGATCCATAAAGACTTCCTTCTCAAACAGAAGAAATTCACTATCCTTAACAGGTAAGGAAACCAGCCGGTGTGCGATGGCTCACACCTGTAATCTTAGCACTTTGGGAGGCCGAGTCGGGTGGATCACTTGAGGTCAAGAGTTTGAGACCAGCCTGGCCAACATGGTGAAACCCCATCTCTACTAAAAATGCAAAAATTAGCCGGGCATGGTGGGGAGCGCCTGTAGTCCCACTTACTGGGGAAGCTGAGGGAGAAGAATCACTTGAACCTGGGAGGTGGAGGTTGCAGTGACCAAGACTGCCCTACTGCGTTCCAACCTGAGCGACAGGGCAAGACTCTGTCTCAAAATGAAAAAAGAATAAGAAAAGCATGGCTTTTCCCCTACCATGAGTTCATTTTTGCCTTTAAAGCAAATACTACGAAGCATCTTGAAAACTGGTCCTTGTTCTTAATGGTGGCTGTTTGTTGAAAGTCTAAAAACTGTGTTTATCTTTTTAAAAATTAGGATTTGCTACCTGAGATCAAGCCAGAGAAGCTAACTCCAAGAAGAACACCATTCACAGAGCATCCCCCCAAAAAATCTTGGTAATAGTCTCTTGCTTTCTGGAAGGAAAAGTTCCTGCATATGATGCACTAAAGATTGTAGATGAAGAAGTGTGGTAAAAATGTCCACTTTACCACACACTTTTTGTTTGGAAAATAAATAAGAGCATCAAATTTTCTATTCCAAAGGAAGAGATACAGATATTGTAATGTTCTATAAGAAGTAGGAAATTGCAGGCCAGGCACAGTGGCTCACACCTGCAATCCCAGCACTTTGGGAGGCCGAGGCGGGTGGATCATCTGAGATCAGGAGTTCAAGACTAGCCTGGCCAAAATGGTGAAACCCTGTCTCAACTAAAAATACAAAAATTAGCTGGGCGTGGTGGCAGGCGCCTGTAATCCCAGCTACTCGGGTGGCTGAGGCAAGAGAATCGCTTGAACCAGGGAGGCAGAGGTTGCAGTGTGCCGAGATTGTGCCATCGCACTCCAGCCTGGGGAACAAGAGCGAGATTTCGTCTCAAAAAAAAAAAAAAAAAAAAAAGTTGGAAATTGCTCAGAGGCTACAAATCAACCTGCACTCCATATATGCAGGAATCTTACTCCCATGGAGTAAGACAAGGAAAAGACTTAGAGGCGCCACCATGCCAGGCTGCTTTTTGTATTTTTAGTAGAGACAGGGATTCACCATGTTGGTCAGGCTGGTCTGGAACTCCTGACCTTAGGTGATCCACCTGCCTTGGCCTCCCAAAGTGCTGAGATTACAGGCAAGAGCCACAGTACTCTGCCGTATTACTTTATTTCTAATCACATGGGAAAATATTTGTCTTACTCCATGGAAGATCCATATTTCCTGAACCTTGGGCAGATGCCACTTTCCAGATAGGTCTCTTCCCAATCCAGAATGTAAAATCAGAAAATAAAGCCAATTAAAAATGAATGAACACAAACACAGCCACTCATGAACCTATGAAAACATATTCGTATGGTCGTGAAGACTAAGTGGCTATGGGATTGCTTCTGACTTTTTAAACTATAGGAATAGGATAAAAACACACAGATCAGTTCGGTTATAGAAAAGTGAGATCCTGGATTCACTTTAACTCTTGTCTTAGGTAGGTAGGGAAAGTGTCACCATGTCACAAGTCCAGCCTAGTGGTGTGCATATGTGTGTGTATGTGTGATCTATTGAGGTATAATTTATACACAAATGTAATTCAGACACATTTAGTATACAGTTGTACATACTAATGTACTTTTCATAGTTGCAACATGCTGATGTAACCACCAACTCCATCAATATAATGAACAGTTCAATTGCTGTAGAAAATTTATTCATTCTTTCTCATCCTCATCCCTCAAACCAGGGAAACATTGATCTGATTTCCATCAACATAGATTGCTTTTGCCCGTTCTGGAATTTATATAAATGTAATCATACAGTTTGGACTCCTGTGTGCAGTTTCTTTTGATCAAAAGCATAGTTATTTTTCTTAGTTTTGCTGGGTAGTATCAATTCAATGGATATACCACAGTTTGTTTATCCATTCACTTTTAATGGACATTTGGGTTATTATTAGTTTGGACTGTTATACATGCGCCTGTTATTTACATTTACATGCAAGGTTTTTATGAATTCATGCTTTCGTGTCTCTTGGGTAAATACCTAGAAGACATACTGCTATGCTAAATGTATGTTTAACTTTATGAAAACCTGTCAAAAATGTTTTCAAAAATGATCGCACTATTTTACACTCCTTCCACAGCACATGAGATAGCAGTTGGAACATACTGTCTAGAATTGGTATTCCAGGTCTACTTTAATTGTGGCCAATTTAGTAAGCATGAAATGTTATCCCATTGGGTTTTAATTTGCACTTCCTAGATGACTAATGTTATTAAACATTCTTTTATGTAGTATTTACCATTTGCATATCTTCTTTAATGAAGTGTTTGTTTAATACATTTGCTCATTTTAAAATTGCTTTATGTTTTTTACTAATATTAGGTTATATTATTTATTTCTATATTCAGGGCTTAAGTATTTTTTCAGATATATATGCTAAGAATTTTTGTCATCTAGTACTTAGTCTTTTTATTTTTAGATGGCACATCTTTTTAAATGTAGAAGATTTTACTTTTGGTCAAGCTGAACTTAATTTTTTAATGTTATATAATTTTTGTGTAGCATATTAGAAATATTTGTCCAAACAAAGGTTGAAAATTTTTTCTCCTAAGTTTTCTTTTAGGCGTGTAAGTTCAGTTGTACATATGATGCGTGGTAGAAGTCAATTAAAACCAATTTTATATACTTAGAAATATTTAATTTTTTCAATATAATTTGTTGAAATTGCTAGTATTTTCTACCAAATTAGTCACCCAACTACACATCAATTAACTATATATGAGGATGTCTATTTCTGTACTCTATTCTGTTTCAATTATTTACATGTCAGTTCTTATATTGATATTATTCTATATTGATCATTAATAATTTAGAATAAGTCTTTAAGTCAGATGGTATCAATCCTTGGGCTTTTTATACTATTACAAAGTTATTTTGACTATTTGAAGTCCTTTGTGTTTCCACATGAATTTCACAGTCTACTTTGCAATTCCTACAAAAATTACCGTTGAGATTTCAATTAGTATTGAGCTGAATTTATAGATCGATATTGAGAAAATGTACTCAAGTCTTTTAATCTATGAACATGGCATACATTTATATTTATTTAGATTGTATTTATTTCTCTAAGTAATGATTTATGCCTTTTTATTGTACTGGTCATGCACATATATTGTTAAATTTATCTCTAAGTACTTCACATTTGGATAACGTGAATGATATTTTGAAAAGTTTGCTTCTAATATAAAGAAATAAAATTTACTCTTGAATATTTACTTTATGTCCTGTAACCATGCTAAATTCATTTGTTTGTTCCAGGATTAAAAAAAAAAAAAATCCCAAGGATTTTCTACTGAAGAATTGTGTTGGAGTTATCAAGAATAGAAGCTAAGAGTTTTATGTCTTTTCAATCTTTAAGCCTCTAACAGTAATAATAGTAATTATCTTTATTTCAGATGATGATGATGATGATGATTACTTTATTGCATGGATATGGTAAGAGTAGATAGTATTACATTCTTTCTTTTTTCCTTTTTTTTTTTGAGACCTCCACCTCCTGAGTTCAAGCAATTCTCCTGTCTCAGCCTTCCGAGTAGCTGGGATTACAGGCGCCACCACACCCAGCTAATTTTGTATTTTTAGCAGAGAAGGGGATTCGCCATGTTGGCCAGGCTGGTCTCAAACTCCTGACCTTAGGTGACCCACCCACCTTGGCCTCCCAAAGTGCTGGGATTACCAGCGTGAGGCACTGCACCCTGCTGTATTACTTTATTTCTAATCACATGGGAAATAATTCAGTCGTTTACCCTTAAGAATGGTGTTAGGTATAGACTTATTTTTAATGGCTTTGTTCAGGCTTAGGAAGTTTCTTTGTTTATCTAGTTTGCTGATACTTTTGATAGTGTATCCATATTGAATTTTGTCAAGAGCTTATTTTTTTAATATTATTAAATTGATCAAAAATAACATTTTTCCTCTATTCTGAGAATACACTATATTTTATTGATGTCTTTTTGAATATTGCAAAAATTTTGTATTTTTGATGTAAGTTCCACTAAAAGTCACAGTTCATTTTATATATCTAGATATCCACATGTAGATATTTATTTATTTATGGATTTTAATTATTAATTTTTTTTAGATTTTACATATAGCTTCTTAAAGGATAGTGGTTTTAATTTTTCTTTTTTTGTATTGTTATTGTCAGACTTTGTGTGTAAGGGTAATGCTGACCTCATAAAATAGTTGGGAAGTGTCTATCCCTACTTTCTGGAAAAGTTTAAGTAAATTGATATTTTATTCTTCTTTGTTTAAAACATTCAAATTCATTTATATTTATTTGTTGGTAATTTTGTTAAAAACAACTTTGATTTATATAATGAATTTAGGATATTCAGATCTTTTTATTTCTTCTGCCATCAATTTTGGTAATTTGTTTTTAAGGAATTTCTCCTTCCATCTGCTCTGTAGAATTTATTAGCAGAGAGTGGTTATAACATTTTTTAAGTATTCTTTGATGTTGTAGAATAAGTACTGATATTTTTACTTTCACTCTAGTTATTCGTAAGCTGTTCTCTGTTTTTCTTTCTGTATGTTAACTACTTTTATATATCTTTTTAAAAATCTAGCTTTTGACATTCCTTTTTTTATAATTTGTGCTTTCTATAATATTGTTTTTTGCTATTTATTACCTCTATTGTTCTACTTCAGAAATTGCCATAGGTTCTTTTGACTTCAAAGTTAAGGTGAAAGTATAGGTTATTGCTTTGAAGCATTTGTCTTTTCTAACATAGACATTTTAAAGCTGTAACTGCTATATCTACTACTTAGAGATTTTGATATGCTTGCTTTTTTCATTTTCGTTTAGTTTAAAATATTCCACATTTCCACTGAAATTCTTTATTTGACTTACGGATCATCATCACTGAAATTTTCTGTTTGACTCATGGATCATTTAAAAACTTTGATTTGCAAGTGTCTGAAGATTTTATAAATATTTTTATGTTACTGATTATTAATTTAATTTTTCAGAAAGTATTTTCTAAGTTTCTAACTTAAAATTTATGGAGATTTATTTTATGGTCAGGCATAGGGTCTCTACTGAAGAGCATTCAATGGGCTCTTGAAAAGCATGTGGATTTTATGGAATTTGATTGGGAAGTTCTATACATGACAATTAGATCTAGCAGGTTGATAATGTTGTTTAGTTCTTTTATATACTTCTTAATTTTTTTGTCAAGTAGTTGCATTAATTGTTGAAACAAGGATGTTAAAATATCTGGCTATCCTTGATGATTTATGTATTTATTCCTTTAGTTCTGAGAGTTCAGCGAATGAATTTTGATTACCTTTTATCTGGTGAAGAGCTATTTAGAAACTTCTTGTCTTCCTGGCGCATTGCTTCCTGTATCACTATGTAATTTTTATCTTTTTCTCCCTTAATACTTTTTGCATTAAGTCTACTTTGGCTTTAACTAACATAGCCATGCCAGGTTATTTTTTATGCTTACTATATTTGCATGATATGTTTTTTCACCCTTATACTTGAAATTCATCTGTTATTTAAGGATAAAATGCATCTCTTGTAGACTGAAAAAGTTGGATCTTGCCCTTTTTTTCAGCGTGACAATCTTTGCTTTTATTTAAGGCATTTAGTACACTTACGTTACTAATGAAATCATTGACATGTCTGGTTTTAATACAACCAAATATTTTCAAATTGTCCCTTCTTTGTTGTTCTTCTGTTGCTTCCTTAATGAATTGCTTGGATTCATAAAAAAATGTTTTAGTGACCATTTTATTTCCTCTATTGATTTCTTAGCTAGGCCTAGCAATAATGCAGTTTTAACTCTTTAGGCTCTATTGTACCTTCTGATGCTTTAGACTTTATCTTGATGCTTCCCACATCACAAATGTAATAACCTTATAAGAGTATAATTTAATTTACCCATTCAATATTGCCTTCTCCTCTATGCAATAGTTGCTTATCATTATAAACCCTAACTGACATTGTTACGCTTTTTGCTTTAAGTGAACAATTTTCTTTTAACTAAATTATGAGAAGAGAAAACAATATAGTATTTTAGGTTTACCTGCTTTTGTTACAATGATCAGATTTAATAAAAAACAAACAAACAAACAAACAAAAACAGGCCAGTGCAGTGGCTCATGCCTATAATCCCAGCACTTTGGGAGGCCGAGGCGGGCAGATCACCTGAGGTCGGGAGTTCGAGACCAGCATGGCCAACATGGCAAAACACTGTCTCTACTAAAAATACAAAAATTAGCTGGGCATGGTGGTGCACATCTGTAATCCCAGCTACTCAGGAGCCTGAGGCAAGAGAATTGCTTGACCTTGGGAGGCAGAGGTTGCAGTTAGCCAAGATTGTGCCACTGTAGTCCAGCCTGGGCTATAGAGCAAGGCTCTATCTCAAAAACAAAAAACAAATGGATAACATCTTCAAAAAACTTTATAATATAAATCTTAGTATAATGTTGAATATTTAACTGGCATGGGCATACAGTGGTCTAAGTTTAGTGCCTGGTATTTGATAATAGAGAAAAAATTTAAAAGAAATTTCATTATACTCCTTCTCCCAAATAATTAACATTACACAATTTTAATTTGTGTGAATTCTCAGTAAAAAGAGGACTTTCAAGGATGATGAAAATATAAAATGTTAATAATTTAAAAATACAGAAATAAAAATATTGAAAAATAAGGTTTTCAAGGTGATCACTGAAACGAAAGCCATGAAACTGATTTCAAGTCCCTAATAATATTTTTACAATCTAAACTAAATTGAAGAAGATGAGAAGAAGAAAACAAAATGTGACAATGTTAAATAGGGTGATGATTTTAAATACTGCAATAGTGATAATACACATTATTTATTAACAGCTTTGGATATGCTACTTTGTGCATTTAGAAATTCATATGGTTCATTCCACTTCATCCTTTCAACAACCTTGAAAGATAGGTGAGTTCATCAACATTATTTAAATAACAAAGTTTGGAAAAGATAAGTAATTCATCCAAGGTGGAATTAGCAGAGGTTGAATCACAACACATGTCCGATTTCAAAGCCTGCTTGGTTAAGGCTGAATTGCACTGTCCTCTCATCTAGTAAATAACTCAATTTGCAAAGAAAAATGACAAATATAAAATCAAATATTAATTTTGAAAATAAAATAAATTAATGTTGACTACTATATATTATAATAAAAGATATAGATAAACATTAATAATAAAAACAAAATGTTTATTTTAAAACTTACAAAGAGGTAGACAAATGGCAAGCAAAGAGAAGATATAGCAAAACATACAAAATGAATTGAAAAAAGTAAGATACTCACTAGCTGACTAGAAGCATCTGGTATCTACCACCTCCATAAAGAAAAACCAAAATGTGAGTAGACAATCACACTTTGAATAGATCATTTAAGAGAGAACAATGACAGGAACAGAAAAGTGACAGGATATACCTAAAGGAAAGGAGAGGAAAAGGAGGCAGCCCGCTCATCTGGGATCAGCTGGGAGTCCAGAGATGCTTCCCAATGGGAGGAAGTTGTGAGAGACCCCCAGTGTTCCACATTCCCACTGTGGACTCCTGCAGTCCTAGCCACAGAAGAGCTCCTAGACTCACAGGCACAGGCACTGAGACTAACATAGGAAACCACCTAAAGATGATGCAAAGGTATTGCCCCAGAGAGGGAGGTCACACTGGGTCCCACATACCTCCCAAGTCCTGAGAAGCTACAGCAAGGTGCCATATTAAGAGCCCAGCTCCCACCAGACTGCATCCTGTCCAGGAGCTCAAGAGCCCCTTATCTCCACAATCCTGCAGCACATTGACATTCCTCATTAGCAGCCACAACTGTGGCTGGCTCTTGTCACCAGGGCTGAAGCATGAACCACTGACAACAATCCTGCTGTCTCCACCAGTGAAGGTATCATGCATTCTCACATGCCCCAAAGACAAACTTCTCTGCTTGCAGCTGCCATGGTGTTGCTTGCTGCTGTCAAGGCCAAAGCTCATGTGAAGTGTATGTTACTCCAGTGATCTGTATATAGCTGCTTAACCTTAAAAACAAACAGACAAACAAACAAACAAAAACTGTTCTCTCCGTTATCAGTGCTGTAGCACAGCTGCTGCTAAGCATTCTACAAGGGGCTTGGGGAATATCCTGGCACTAACTACCACAGCCAGTGCCTGCATGCACTACGCAGGGACCAGAGGACAGGTCTGCCTGGCCTCACTCTGTCTCACCAATACCTGAGCATGCTGTCCAGAGGCCTGGGGCTCACCCAGCCCAGTTAACACACTGTTGGCATCTGAGCACTCCTCTCAGGGGCCTGAGGTTGGGGCCACTCAGCCTGCAACTACTGTTTAACAGCTGTTACCCACTTGCATGTGCCACCTGTAGGCCTGGGGACTGTCCCACTCAGCTTGTCATGGCTAATACCAGCACCAGTGTGGGCCACTTGAGAGCCAGAGGGTTGTCCAGACACTGCTAATGCCATTGCCTGTGTAGCACCCAGAGGCTTGAGAACCCACCCACCTGCCTGGAACACTTGTGCCACTACTGGCATATGAGTAAGACTCTTAGCGGTCCCCAAATTGTTCCATCTGGATGTACCAACAGCAGTGTCAGTGTATGCAACCCTGGGGTCCAAGGACAAGCATGCTTGGTGTGCCACTGCTACCACTTGGACCTAAGGATAGGTTCTCCTGCATCCTTATCCTCAGAAAAAATTCATCACAGTCTTCACTAGCACTGGTGGAAATTGCAGACACTACTGATGCTATTTACAGCCAAAGAAATCAAACAGAGAAGACTACACTAATGTATGCACCTAGACGCAAACCCAAAGTGCCTTACACAACCAACACCATACACATATCTTCAAAAAAGTCTTCCCCAGTGAAAGCAAATTCCAAAAAATTGAAGAAAAGATGCTTACACCCAATGCACTGATAATGTAAAGGCACAAACACACAAAAACATGAAATAGCAATGAAATATTATGTCCCCAAAGTAATGCAATAATTCTCCAGGAAAAGATCCTAATTAAAAAGAAATTTGTAAAATCCCAGAAAAAATAAAAATAATCATATTAAGGAAGCTCAGTGAGATACAAGAGAATACAGAAAAACAATGCAAGCAAATCAGAAAAACAATTCAGGATTTGAATGAGAGATTTACCAAAGAGATAGATATCATAAAATACCAAACAGAAATTCTGGAACTGAAGAATTATTTAAATGAAATACAAAATACATTCAAAATTTCAATGATGTAGGAGATCAAACAGAAGACAAAAATCTCAGAACTCCAAGACAGGTCTTTTTAAGTAATGCAGTCAAATGCAAATAAATGTTTAAAATAATAAAAAAGAATAAACAAAGCCTACGTGACACATGACACACCATAAAGCAATCAAACATTCAAAATTTTGGTGCCCCTTTCAAAAGATGAGCAGCAAGAGAAAGGCATCCAGTCAGTTATAAGATAACTTACATCAGAGAAACAAGTGGATTTTTCAACAGAAACCCTATAGGCCAGGAGAGAATTAAATGATATATTCAAAGTGCTGAAAGAGAACAGGAAACAGCTATAAGAACCCTACACCCAGCAAATACATTCTTCATACATGAAGAGGAAATAAATTCTTTCTCAGACAAGCAGAAGCCAAGGGAATTTATTACTACTAGACTAGCCCTACAAGAAATGTTTAAGAGAGTCTGAAATCTGAAAATGAAAGGAGAACATCTACTGTAATGAATACACACAAAAGTATAAAATCCAATGGTAGCACAAACACACAATAAGAAAGACAAATAACTCAACTGTTACCATTACAAAAAACTACCAAACACAATATAAGCAATAACAGAAAGACAGAAACAAAGGATATAGCAAACCACCAAAAACTAATTAATAAAATAACAGAAATAAGCCCTCACATATCAATAATGGCCTTAAATGGAAGTGAGTTAAATTTTCCATTAATAAGATATTGATTGGTTGGATATATAAAAAATACTGGACCCAACTATGTGCTGCCTACAAGAAATTGAACTCCCATGTAAAGACACATAAAGGCTGAAAGTAAAGGGATGGAAAAAGATACTCCATGCACAACAAATACTGAAGTAAGCAGGAGTATCTATACTTGTATCAGATAAAATAGACTTTAAGTCAAAAACAGTAAAAAACTATACAGAAGGTCATTATATAATGATAAAGAGGTTAATGCAGAAGGGTAATATAACAATCTGAACATATAAGGTCATTATATAATGATAAAGGGGTTAATGCAGGACGGTAAGATGGCAATCTGAACATCTATGCACCCAACACTACAGCGCCCAGATATATAAAACAAATAATATCATATGTAAATGGAGAAATAGACTGCAATACAATAATCGTTAGATACTTCAACATTCTACTCTGTGTTAGACATATCATCTAGATATAAGATTAATAAAGAAATATTGGATTTAAGCTGCAGTTTAGACAAATGAACATAACAGACATTTACAGAACATTTCATCCGATAGCTACATAAAACACATTCTTCTCATCAGCAAATAGAACACTCACCAGGATAAACCGTATGTTATGAAACAAAACAAGTTCCTCAAAATTTCAAAATACTGAATCATATCATGTGTATTTTCAGACCACAGTGGAATAAAACAAGAAATTAATAACAAAAGGAGCTTTGAAAACTGTACAAATACATAAAAATTGAACAACATGTTTTTAAATGACCATAGGTTCAAGGAAGAAATTGAGGAGAAAATCTACAAATGTTTTGAAACTAGTAAAAGCTGTTTCATAACATAACATACAAAATCCTATGGAATACAGCAAAAGCAGTGCTAGGAAGAAAATTTATAGCAACAAATGCCTACATAAAATAGTAGAAAGATTTTAAATACAAAATCAAATGATACACCTGAAAGAACAGAAAAGCAGTAAAAAATCTAATCCGAAATTAATTGAAGGAAAGAAATAATAAATATGAGGCCAGAACTAAACTAAATATAGACTAAAAGATGACACAAAGAGTCAATAAAAGAAAAAGTTGGTTTTTTGAAACGATAAACAAAATTGATAAAGTACTAGATAGACAAATCAAACAAAGAGATAAAATCCAAATAAAATCAAAAAGGAAAAAGGAAACATTACAACTGATACCACAGAAACACAGAAGATCATCAAGGCTACTATGAACAACTATAACACAAAAAATCTGGAAAATATAGAGAAAGTGGATGAATTCCAGACACATACATTCTACACAGATTGAATCAGGAAAAATATAAAACTTGAATAGACCAATATCAAGTAATTAGGCTGACTCAATAATAAATGTCTTACAACAAAGAAAAGTCCAGGACTGGGGGCAGCTTCCCTGATGAAGTCTACCAAATTTACAAAGAACTAACACCAATTCCTCTCAAACTATTCCAAAAAATTGAAGAGGAGGAATTTCTCCGTAACTCGTTCTATGAGGCCAGAAATACCCTGATACCAAAATCAGACAAAGACACAACAAAAAAAGAAAACTACAGACCAATATCCTTAATGAACATAGACACAAAAATCCTCAATGGAATATTAGCAAACCAAATTTAATAGCACATCAAAAAGATAATACACCATGATCATGTGCAATTCCAGAGATGGATCAGAGAATGCAAATTAATAAATGTGATATATCACATTAACAGAATGAAAAAAAACCATATGATCATCTCAATAGATACAGAAAGGCAAGTGATAAAATTCAGTGTTTCTGTATAACAGAAATTCTCAATAAACTATGCAGAGAAGGAACATACCTCAACATAATAAAGGCTAATATACTGAATGGGAAAAGCTGAAAGTGTTTCCTCTAAGTATTGGCACAAGACAAAGATGCTTCCTTTCACCAGTACTATTCAACGTAATACTGGAAGTCGTAGCCAGAACAATCAGGCAAGAGAAAAAAATAAAACGCATTCAAACTAGAAAAGAGAAAGTCAAATTATCCCTCTTTCCTAATGATATAATCCTACATACAGAAAAACCTAAAGACACTACCAAAGCATTCTTAGATCTGATAAATAAATTCAGTAAAGTTACAGGATACAAAATCAACATACAAAAATCAGTAGTGTTTCTATAATCCAATAATAAATAAGCTGAGAAAGTAATCAAGAAAGAAACCCCATTTGCAATAGCTATAAACAAATACTTAGGTATAAATTTAACCAAAGTGGTGAAAGAGTTCTACAAGGAAATGGACAAAAGACTGATGAAAGAAATTGTAAAGAACACGAAAAATGGAAATACTTCTCATGCTCATTAATATCTGTAAAATAGCCATACTGCCCAAAGCAATCTATAGATTCAATGCAATTTTTATCAAAATACCAATGCAGTTTTTCATAGAAATAGAAAAAATAAATCCAAAAATTTACATATAGCCATCCAGTTTTCCTGGCACCAAAAAAGCCCTAACAGGCAAAGCAATCTCAAGCAAAAAGAACAAAGCTGGAGGCATCACACTCCCTGTCTTTGAAAGATATCACAAGGGTATAGTAACCAAACAGTATAGTAGTGCTGTAAAAACAGAAACCTAGACCAATGAAAGAGAATAGACAACCCAGAAATAAATTGATGTGTTTATAGCCAATTGAATTTGATAAAAGTGTCAAGAACCTACACTAGGGAAAGGACACACTCTTCAATAAACGGTGCTGGGAAAACTAGATAACTATATGCAGAAGAATGAAACTGGACCCCTATTGTTCATTATATACAGAAATCAAGTGAAGATGGATTAAAGACTTAAAAGTAAGAACTAAAACTATAAAACAAGAAGAAGACACGGAAACACTTCAGGACATTAGTCTAGGTAGAGATTTAATGGCTAATGCCTCACAAGCATAAGCAATAAAAACAAAAATAGACATATAGAAGTATAGTAAACTAAAATATTCTGCACAGCAATGAAAAAAATTAACAGAATGAAGAATCAACCTGTTCAATGGGCAAAATATTTGCAAACTGTTCACCTCGTAAAAGGCTAATATCCAGAATGTACAAGAAACTCAACTGTAAAAAAATAAAACCCTAAATAATCCCATTACAAAGTGGGCAAAGGGCATGAATAAATGTTTTGCAAAAGAAAACATACAGATTACCAACAAGCATATGAAAAAATGCTCAACATTACTAATCATCAGCGAAATCCAAATGAAAACCACAGTGAAATATCATTTTACACCATTCATAATGGTAATTATTAAAAAGACAAGAAATATCAGATGTTGGCAAGCATGTGGAGAAAAGGTAAGTCTTATACACTTTTGGTAAGGATGTAAATTAATAAAATCTCTATGGAAAACGGTAAGGAGATTTCTCAAAGAGCTACAAATAGAACTATCATTTGATCCAGCAATGCTATGCTGGGTATCTACCCAAGGAAAAAATAAATCATGTTAGCAAAATGTTACCTGCACTCATGTTTATCACAACACTACTTACAACAACAAGGATAGAATCAACCAAGTGACCATCCATAGAAAAATGGATGAAAAAACTGTGAGATGTATAAACAATGAAGTACTAATCCGGCATGAAAAATGAAATCAAGTCATTTGTAGCAACATAAAGAGAACTGGAAGCAATGATCTTAAGTATAACAACTTTGGCACAAAAGGACAAATACCACCTGTTCTCATAAGTGAGAGCTAATATTGTGTACACATAGATGTAGAGTTTGGAATGACAGACAATGAAAACTCAGAAGGGTGGGTAGGAGGGGGACAGATGATGAGAAATCACTTAATGGGTACAATGTGCATTATTCTGGTGATGGATAGCCTAAAAGCCCTGACTTCATCACTGTGAAATCTATGCATGTAAAAAAAATTACACTTGTACCCCATAAATTTATGTAATTTTAAACAAATGAATAAAATACAGGAACAGTCTTTTCTCAAAAGAAGATATACACAGGACAGAAATTTTCAACGTCACTAATCATCAGGGAAATACACATCAAAACCACAATGAAATATTACCTTACCCTAGTTAGAATGGCTATAATTAAAAAGGCAAAAATAAGCAGGTGCTGGTGAGGGTAGGATAAATAAGAATTATTATATGTTGTTGGTGATAATGTAAATAAGTTCAGTCACTGTGAAAAAGAGTGTGATTTCTAAAAAAAAAAAAATCTAAAAATAGATTTACCATAGATCCAGCAATCCCACTATTGGGTTTTCATCTAAAGGAAAATAAATTGATGTATCAAAGAAACATCCGCACTCCCATGTGTACTGCGGCACTATTCACAATAGGAAAGATATGGAAAAAACCTAAATGTCCATCAATGGGCAAATGAATAAAGAAAATGTGACACACACACACACACACCGAATACTATTCAACCATAAAAAAGAATGAAATCATGCCATTTGCAGCAACATGAATGAATCTAGAGTTAAGTGAAATAAGCCAGGAACAGAAGGGCGAATATTGCATATTTTCATTCACATGTGGGAGCTAACAAAGTTGATCTCATGGAGGTAGAGAGTAGAATGGTTAATATCAGATCCTGGAAAGGGTATTTATTTGTATGGAGTGATTAAAGAGAGGTTGGTTGATGGGTACAAACATACAGTTAGATGGAAGGAATAAGTTATAATGCTTGATAGCAGAGTAGGGTGACATAGATAACAGCAATGTATTGTATATTCAAAATAGGTAGAAGAGAGGACTTGAAATGTTCTCAATACATAAAACTGATAAATACTAGAGGTGATGGACACCTCAAATACCCTGACTGGATCATTATACAGACTCTATGCATGTAATGAAATATCATATGTTCACCAAAAATATGTACAAATATTATATACCAATAAGAAACAAGAAATCCAATGATAAAAATAAAGAATGAAAAATAAAATAATAGTGGTATATTCATTGTAATCTTTGTTTAAATTACTTTAAATATGAGTCATGTAAAGTTAATGTAAAAATCTTCTCAAGTTCTGAGACTCATATTTCAGATCAATTGGGCCTTTGAGATTTATTTAATATAGTAAAGATCTGAATCTATTATTTGTAATTTTATAACAAGATGTTAGAGTGCTAAAGAGTGTAAATAAGAATAAAAATGAAACAGCAAAAAATTGTATATTGGAAGAAAATAGCTATTTCTAAACTAAAGAAAGATATATTGCAATGTGCATTGTTTATATTTATGGTAGGAAAAATATTGTGGTTCATTCTGAATGGAAGAAAATTCTCAAAGATATCATTTTTTTTATTATTGAGAAAGGATTCATGTCCTGTCTCCAAAATAATGAGACTTTAGCTTAAAGTTTTAACATAATCTGATATAGAATAATTGAGAATAAAATTATAATGAAGGCAATCTTAAAGTATCTGAGGTTATATCATCAGTCCTCTGATATAAATCTATTGTTTGTTCATGTTTTCCCCTTGACAGAAATAAAAATAATATAAGTTTATTGAAATCATTTCCTGACCAAGAAAAATGTTAGAATATAGTCGTACTTTTTGTACTCTACAAGTAAATGAAAATTAAGATTTTTTTTGTACTTTAAATGTATTATAAGAAGTTACACACTGGTCTGATAAGCAAAATTATGCCTTTAAATTTAATGATCAATTCAAAATCTATAAAATCTAGACTGATAATTTTATAAATTATCAGATTTATGATATAATTTTAAGATAATCAAAAATTCATATATATATAATTCATATTCAACTTTAATCTGAAACACTAAGTTATTTAATATTATTACAACAGATTTGACACTTTGTACACAAGATTACCTATAAATTTAAACTCTAATAACACAAAGTAAAGGTAACTAATTCAGGAAAATTTTGTGATTCATATATATTTTCTCCTGTCCCAACTGGCAGAAGTCTTTTGCAGATTACAGTTTGTTCATATTTATCTTCTTGATAAAATGTCCGAAACCTACATAACATTTTCTGACATATTTACAAATAATCTACCACCATCCCTTTGTCTTAGAAATAGTCATTAATACAGATTTCCTCTCTGTGTTGCTTGTTGTGATCAACACATTTCAGAATGTTGATGAGTGATTATCTTCATGGCACAAATATGTTTCCAGGCTTTACTAGGCATGGTAAATAATCTGATTACATATCTTAATTAGTCCAAGGAAGGTGTTTTAAATAGGAAGGTGACAGTGGAGGTGGTGATAAGCCATGATTTAGCATGTCCTATTGAGATAAAATTGGTTTGCAGCAGCTTAGCTGCAAGATTCTTTCTCACATTTTTGAGATTGTCACATACCCATGTCCTTTGCATTGTTCCTTGGTCCTAGACTTCCTCTTTACCATAAACCAGTTGTTTTACAAAGCGGGTGCCATATGACTGGCTGAGCTCAAGTGTGTACATCTGAATACATACATTTTGATAAATGGAAAACAGTGCTTTCTGATTATGGTGGATTAAAGTAATCTTTGCATAAGCACAAGTGTTCAGCTACTGAGTCTTTTTCCATTTCTCACCTATTCCTTTCATGGTCCTCTGAGTAAATACATGGTTTTCCACTCATATTATAATTTTGAATTATTAAGATTTATACTTATAAAAATCTAGTGTATTTCATTTGTTCTGATGAACTTTTTGCAATGTTGTGATGAATGCATTTTACATAAATTGTAAGTTCTTGGACATATATAGACAATGACCTAATGCAGAAAAAACTACATGTAAATATATGTATTTGTTTAATATCCACTATAAGTCCAGGTGATAAATGTGCTACACAAAGTGGTAGGAAGCTAAATAATGCATCTGGTGATCATAGCAGTTTACATTATTTGAGCTTATTTTGTGCTGGACTCAATGTTAAGCACAGAGAAAATAAGTATTACTGACTTATTTTCACAATAACCTTTTTTTAAATTTTAAGTAATTTATTTCAGTAGAAATGTTTCAGAAAACCGTACTTAAATTCACTTTTAAGTTAGCTTATGCAGACACACTGAAGATCGCACACTCACATTTGCATATTAAAAAGAAACAAAAACTGAGAGAGGAAACAAGCTGCACTTCACTCAAGGAGGTTATAGTGCAATTGAGTGCTTCATCATTAGAGTATCTCAAGTTAATTGGGATGAAGAATAAAAATGGCTTGTGTTTTCATATATATTATTATCACTGGGTACCTGTCCCTACAGATTTTTGATCTCCTTTAGATTATGTTGTGAACCAGTTCCCCATTCCCTCCCCACACACATGTCCTTCAGTAAGAAGTGAAACAATGAATTTGTCAATAATCAAGGTACAGAGACTCTTCAGAGTCTGCTGACTTATTATCAGCTGTTTTATCATAGCTATTAAGTCAGTACTGAAGTCCAATAATCATTAATCGCAATAACCTTTTAAGGTATCTACAATTTTTAACCATCTTTGTACGAATGAGGAAACCAAGGTAGATCATGGCTAAGTAAATGTTCCAAGGTGCTAAATTTCAGAGCCTGCATTGCTTTCTGGTCTGTGTGATTCCATGGCCTGTTGTTACAATCCACCTGCAATATCCCTCCTATCAAGTATTTTCCTACCAAGTAAAGTGGGTGAGACATGAGAAAAGGGGGAAAAAAAATCTGTCTTGCACAATTCACCTGGACTGCCTACTCTTGTGCATCTTGGCTATCTGCAAAACCAAACTGCAGATGTTTCTGTACCACATCCCCAACTTCAGCAAAGGAAATCTGGCCTCCCAGGCTCCTGCTCTGTCTACTATCTCTTTCTGTCTTTTCCTGCTTCATCAGTCCCTATTTGATACTATAGCTTCTTGTTATTCACCTCCATGCTTCACCCTCAAATGACTGACCAGATAATTTGGACACTCTGATCCATAGTCTCACACTTTCTGGTAAAAGAACCTTGCAGCATTTCCTAAATGGGTGCCTTTACTGAGCAGGCAGGTCCTGCATTTTGTCCTCTATACAATGTTAATAATATGTAAGACTGATGGTTGGATTCAGAGAATATAACAATAGCACTAGTTTCCATTCCATTAATTTTAGATTTTTTTAAAGTATCCAAAATCCTTATTCTGAAACATTTAAAGTATAACTACCTCCATTGAACAAATCCAACTTGGCTTGGTAGGTGAATAAATGAAAGGTTTGTTACATGTCTTACAATAACAAGAAAATCTGTCACTGCTATAATCACTGTTAGAATCTATTGAGCAAATGACCTGTTTAAATAAAGCTTCAGGTTCCCCAAAGTGAAGTGCTCCCACAGGAGAGCAGTCTTCAAATTCCCTTAAGTGACATCTCTGTAGATCTGCCAAAGTGTGAGGGTAACAAGTGATTTAATTACTGTATAGACTCTCCTTCCCTAAGGTCTCTTTGTGGAATTGTATTCAACAATCGTCTGTAAATTTATTCCTGAAATGTGTCATCACTACACATCTTTTTATTATTTTCCCCATAAGCCAAGAGATGGATTCTTTTCCAAATGTATTTACTTGGGTAAGATTTTGGCAGCTTTTTTTATTATTATTATTAAATTTGATGCTACTTCTCCTTGAAATAAAGCAAAAGTTGTCAATCATTTTTAGAGGTAAACTTACTTGCTTGTGAGAAAGTGTGATTAATCTTCCTAATTACATATGAATCTGTTTTCTATAGTACTTTTTAATACTGCAGACGACTCTTCTACCCCACCTGCTAACCTTCTCTCTCTCTCTCTCTCTCTCTGTTTCTTCTTTCAACATATATATTGACTGTATTCTTGTTCAACATATTTATTGGGTGTATACTCTGTTGCAAAAACTAGAGAGGGTATTAAGTATGCTAATAAGTTCATGTAAAAGGAAGATTCTTAGTATTTTACAGATATTAACATATTTAACTTATTTAAAAACTATATGACATCTGTACTATTATTATTTCCATTTTAAATATCAGAAGATTGGAACAATGAGAGATTAACCAAATTGTTTAAATTCACATGGCCGACAGAAAAGAGTGTGAAGATTTGAACCCATAATATTTGCCTGCAGAGATTGTACTTACAAATGTTACACTATTAAGCAAGTGTATACTAATATCCAAGGAGAAATAAATAAAACCAATGTGAGTTACATTGAGAGTTCTCTTACATTACTCTCATAACTAAGATTACCATTTAAAATAGAGGACAGTAAGTTAAATTTCAATTTCAGATAAACAGTAAATTATTTTAAGGTAAATGTGTCCCAAATATTCCAAGGGACATATTTATACTAAAAAGATTTCTATTTTTTGCCTTAAATTCAAATTTAACTGCATGGCCTGGGTGGATTTTTTTTCCTTTTGGCTTATTCTAACACTCTACTCATGGCAGTTGTTAATTAGTATTTGTAATTACATATATTTTTATATTATTTATTATGTAATACATATAAAATATACTTACAGTATAATAAATACTATTAAAAGATACATATATAATATATACTATTTACATACTTATATAATATAGTCTACTGTTGCATTATTTACATATTGTTACCTATACATACTTATAAAATGTACCATTTACATACTTATATAATGTATTCTACAGTTGTATTATTTACATATTATTACCTTTTCATACTTATACAATGTACTATTTACATACTTATATAATTATTCTACTGTTGTATTATCTACATATTACATTTACTTATATAATGTACTATTTACATACTTATATAATGTATTATTATACAATTTTACTATTTACATACTATTACATTTGCATAACTATATAATGTACTATTTACATATTTACATAATGCATTATTTTACTATTATGCTATTTACATACTATTGCATTTACATACTTATATAATGTACTATTTACATACTTACATAATGTATATGTTATTATATAATTTCATATAATTTATATTAACATACAATCCATATACAAAGAGTGCTGCTCAAAGCACCCATAGCCAAGTACCTAGTAAGTTGTAGGGTAAATTTCTTACTTCTGGCTTTAACATACTATGTCATGTGATCTCCTATTTAATTGAAACTTCAATGTCTTTGTAGCTGAACAGAAAGAAAAAAATGAATGGAAACCAAAAGCGACAATAATGTTTTTTGTAAACTATAATATTAAAAATTCTTCTATTGTGATATATTCAGCTTAAGGGAGACATAATTTAGTGATTCAAACTATAGACAATGCAGCATCATTTTATAGACAAGAGGCAATGACATTATACTGTAGGTTGGCTGTGGAAGTCATCATTTCCATTTACCAAAACATCTCCAAAATGCTCTATTGAAAGACTTTAACAATCTCAATCTCCAGGAATTGGAAGATTTCTCCTCATAAGTAAACGAGAGAGAATAATTTATGATTACTGAAGCTTATTCTTCAAAATGTCAATAAAAACAGCATACATTCTGTGGAGGTTGAGATGCTTAGCAACAGGAAGTAAATAACCACACAGTTAGAGGTCCCTCCCTCCTTCCCAAGAAGGGAAGCTTTTAAAACCAAGCTCCATGAGAGGAACCACGTCTTATGCTGTAGCCTGTTTCACAAGCTCTATGTGGTCTCATCACTGACAATCTCCTAAATTATTCAAACAACTCCATTTTTCAAGAAAATCTTGGCAGTCTCTTTCTTTAAACATGCATGAGAAAGGATTCCATCTTCAGGGACACACCCCTGAGCAAAGCCATGTACTCTTCAATATGTGCTATTTGGAAAAAAAAAAATCTGGCACATAGTAGGGTCTTTAAGTCACCTTTGTAAGGGCAAAGGCCTACGTTTACTTTGTTTGGCTATTACTTTTATTATAAACACTGCCACTACAATTTATAAATGAGTGAAGGGATGAACAAGTAAGATAATAATTAAAGTGAATAAACAAGTTAATCATTACCTACACATACACATGTATATAATGGTTAAATATATATGTACAATAATATATAGACATCATTTAGACACACATGCACACACACACACACGTCATTCAGGTACTACTGAAATAGCCTCTGTGCCATAATTGTTTAACCTCATAGCGTGTGATAAGAGTAGCACTTAGATTCCTAGTCTGTATCCCTATTTCTCAGAAATTTCCCTGCACAACTTAGAAAAATAGATTGAGGAGTGGGGAGAATTTTTTCTGCCTCACAGAACTAGCACTAACCTGTTCACTGACTACAGACATGCTTCTAACCATGCCCAAATGAACAAAAGTAGTTACACTGACTAAGATGAGTTCCTGCCTGTTTCTTGGTGGAGAAACAGAGGCACAGTCAAACCAAAACAAAGAATAAACATCCGAAGTTTTCCCATACTTTCAACTACTGAAATAATTATTTACGTGTATTGGTTCACTTTGCATTGCTATAAGGGAATACCTGAGGCTGGGTAATTTACAAAGAAAAGAGTTTTATTTGGCTCGCTGTTCTGCAGGCTATACAAGCATGGCGCCAATATCTGCTCAGCTTCTAATGAGGCCTCATGAAGCTTTTCCTTATGGCAGAAGGCAAAGGGGGAGCTGGTGTGTCACATGGCTGGAGAGGGAGCGAGAGAGAGAGAGAGTGGGCAGGTCCCAGGGTCTTTTTCACAACCAGATCTTGAAGTAACTCATCACCACTGGAAAGGCACCCAGCCATTCATGAGGGAGCCTTTCCCATGACCCAAACACCTCCCACCAGGCTCCACCTCCCACACTGGGGATCACATGAGGTATGGAGCAGGCAAACATTCAAAAACTCTGTCACTAGGCTTAGGAGTTTGCTTTTGTTCTGCTCTGACAGATAATGATGACAGAATTGCACTCAAGCAGATGGCTCGATTCTGAATATATCAAAGGAACAATTTTCCTGATAAAAAGACCTGAGAGGAATTAATCCCATCTTAGGTCATCAAGAAAAGAGCACTGGATGGATGGCCCAACCTCATGACGAAGCGTTAAAAATCAGCTGAGAATTAGGTAAGTTACTGAATTTCACTGGGCCTAGTCACCACTCTATAGAAAGATAGAGATAATAAGCAATTATTCATTTTACTTCCAGCTGTAACTTTAAATTTCAGTGCTGTGAGATTTTCTGCATTAGAAAAAACATGGGCTGCTTCTAACACCAAGATTAAATCTCAGTTGTTGCCAACTTTGAAATCTCAATTGTTGCCAACTTTAATCTTGCTTAAGCAAACATACATAAACTATACTTACCTCTGGATGGACAAAAAGGGAAACTCATGAGACTTCACTCATGAAGTCTCTGCTATGTTGAATAAATGAGGCTCAGAACAAGCCTCATTTGGGGCCTGACTGCATAGTCCATGTTTGTTTCCACTAAACCAAATGGCAAATGTTAAATAATTGCCTTGACATTTTTCTGTAATAATGTTATAGTTTAACAAAATGATGCAATGATAGTAAGTAATCATTAAACCTCAAAGAGCCATTTATGACATCTAAGGCAAACATCTTCCTAAAATTTTAAAGTTTAGTAAATATTTGAGATTTTTAAGCTAAGAGCATTACATAATAATGCTTCTCTAAACCAAAAGTTTACATTAAAGCAAGGTGATGATGCTATCTAATCAGGTGGTGGTGTTTAACTCTCTCTTCTTTCTCTCTTACTTAGTTCATAATATGATTATAGGATTGACAAAGTTGTGCATTTTCTAAAACTGATCTGCTTTTAAAGATAGAAATACATAGATGCCGTCTTTCTAGTTCAACGTAGAAAAATGCCACAGATCCCAGATAATGATACAGTATCCCTAGATTTTCCATGATTATCTGTATATGCTTTTCAATAATGACTGAGCAAACCATTAGCTAAATTTCAGTTAATTTTTCTTTTGTCATGCTTTCTATCAATATATTCACAAACATAGAAAATCAAAATGAATGCTCTTATGAGATCACTTGCCCTGTTATTTGAACTAGAAAATATGGCAATTGAGAAAAATGTACAGTATGCAGGCATTTGAAAGGACTGACATTTATTTCAGAAGCAAAACAACAACAGATAAAAATTTTACTTCTGGTGTTAATAATACTAACTCTAGGAAGGGGAGCTCAGACATAGAATGGCTCCATTCAGACTAATTTGAACTAACAACATTTTAGACATTTTGAACTGTATATCACTACCAAAATTTTATCATGTCTAGATGTGTTTAGTTATTCACTGTCTTCTTCTTCCACAGGATCTATATCCCATAAGAGAAGCTCACAGATTGGCCGTATCTATTTTTGTGTCTCCAAATCACCAAACAGAAACTAGTACATAACAGCCCCTTAACTGTTGTTTGAATCAATGAATGAATCAATGAATGAATGACATTAGAGAATTTTGAGTACTGTGAGCCATAGAAAATTGGTTCATTTGACTTTAGGCAAAAAATACATAAATAAATAAAAAGAAAGAAAGGCAGATTATAGCTAATACTCCTTAGACCAGCACTGTCTAATAGAACATTCTGTAATGTTAGGGATGGTTTATATTTGTGCTGTCCAATATGGTAACCACTAGCCAAATATGGCTATCCAACACTTAAAATAAGCAGCAAAAGTTTTAATGTAATTCAATTTAGTTAATTAAAATTTAACTTAAAATTGCTGCATGTGAATAATGACTATGGTATTGGGAATACAATATTATGTAGTATTGGGTGAGTTTGCCAACTCACACTATCTTAGTTCCATATGCATTCCAAAAAATGTGTAAAAAGGAAAATGGTCTTGTTTCATAGCTCTCCATTTCCTGATTCCCCACATTTCAGATAACTAATTACTCTGTTAATTACCAGGTCCTCGGTACTTGCCTTACAACCTTCCCTACTAATTTGACTCAGATAAGCTTTAATTATATAGCCCAGGGATGCTCCCTGGCATCTGTCCTTGCCCAACATCACCCCAATTCTCCCTCTGTGCTGTATTTGCCCTATCACACATTTATCTTTCTTACTAGACCCAAGATCCTTGAATAGAGTGGTTATGCATTGTTTGTCACTGTTTCACAAGAGTCTAATGTGTAGAGTGTAGTGGTTGAACAATAAGTGTTCAATGAATAACTGGAAGAAGACGGTGAAGCAGCAGATCACCTCGCCTATGAGTCCCACCTGGATCTTTTTTCTTTTGCCTGATATCTGAGATTTTTCCTTGTCTCTGAGACTCTGAACTACTCAATGTCTCCTGTTCTGTTAAGGCTACCAAGTTCTTGACGTATAACCCTGCTCTTCCTAGAATCCAAAACCCGATATCTGGTCAAATTCCCAATGGGGACTATTCCTGTGTGTGCCATTCATTCATTTAAAATTTCATCCAAACTCACTACATCAGGCTTCATTATGACATTACACTGTAGGTTAGCTGTGAAAGTCGTCTTTCCATTTACCAAAACATCCAGGTCCTCACTACTTGCCTTCCAACCTTCCCTAGTAATTTGACTCAGACGAGTTTTAATTATGTAGCCCAGGGATGCTCCCTGGCATCTGTCCTTGCCTAACATCATCCAATTCTCCCTCTGTGCTTTATTTGCCCTATCACACATTTGTTTTTCTTACTAGACCCAAGATCCTTGAATAGAGTGGTTAGGCATTGTTTGTCACTGCTTCACAAGAGTCTAATGTGTAGAGTGTAGTGGTTGAACAATAAGTGTTCGATGAATAACTGGAAGAAGATGGTGAAGCAGCAGATCACCTCTGCTTCAATATGACAATCAATCTGATATAATCAATATGATAGACAAGCCACTAGCACTCACAAAGCTGACTTTCTAATTGGAAAGAAAGAATGTCAAATAATGACACACATGAACAATAAGTTTCTGATAAAGGTAAGCACTGAGAAAGAATAAAACTGGACGAGGTAAGAGAAAGGGGGAAAGGCACATTGAAGAGGGTGTAGAGAGCTCTAAGATAGTTGGAATCATGGGAGAGAAAGAGAAGACTCTCCTTAGTTATATATCTAAGCCCAGGTGGTCATTGGGAGTAAACACCTCTGCCCTTGTATTAATTTTACAGTTAAATTATAAAATTAATTGTAATCTGTATCTCTTCTAAAAAGATCCTTTTTATATCTGTATATTTTTCTGTATCTCTCATAAAAATTTACCTGACCCTCTTTCTTCTGATGGCATTTGTGTCCCTACATTGTTTTCCATGTCATTTATGCATTTATCTCAGAATTCTTTCATGATTTTTATTATAATACAGTGTCCTAAACTTTTCATAGCCTTGAAGCCATTGTTCTTTGATTAAGCCCTTGTTCCAGGCCAAAGCTGCCTATAAGTTTGACTTGCCAATGGGCAAGTTGGGAATTGTGTGTCCTGTAAGCACACGTGCCCATATACCATCCTCAACCCAGGGGGAAATACAGAATTGGGAACCCTCCTCCCTTTGACTTTTGCTGGCACTGGTCCACAAATCTTGTTGCAAGCAGATTTGTTTCTCTCATTCTTCTCCAGTCTACCCTATTATTTCAACCTTTTTTTTTCCTCAACAGCTGCAGTTAGTCTTATGACTATGTTTCTTTCATTAAAAGCCTATACTTAACAAAACCTGGGGTCCTTTGTAATTAGCATGTTGTACACAATTTGAAGGAACACTGTGGTTAGGCCATGCATCTTTTATAAAGAAATATTTTTTATTTTAAACTGCTAATTTTGCTAATTTCTTTTCAGAGCTTTAAAAATGTAATTTTTGTAGCCTAGTGGGTCATAAAAGAAGTTCTTAAGAAAATGAGTGACTACTAAAAGGAGAGAGGGTACACACTATTCTGCCAATGTCTCCATTCATTAATTTTAAAAGAGTTCTAGGATTGGTTTTGGCCTCATGTGTCTTGTTTCCTCATGAAAGAAGTCTTTATTTATCTTGAGAGAATGGGAATTTTATTTCTTTTCTTCTTAAACCTATTTTGATAACGATCAGTAGCCTCTTCCAAGTGGTTTGTACACATCTCTTTCTCCCTAGTTAAGGTGCTAGAGGGTTGTGCAATACTGGAATATCCAGAAAAGTCCTCTTGGAACATCCAGGGATAAGCTTAAGATATTGTAAAGAGGCTCTGCCACTAATTATTTATTCAGGAGTCTAACAAACATCCCACAGAGGAAAGCAACAAAGTACTTCAGACCACAGGCTCTGGGTCCAGGCTTTGTGGGTTCAAATTCTAGGTCTGCTGCTTACACAGCACTTTAGCAAGATATTTAACCTCTCTGGGTCTAGTTTTTTATCTGTAAAATAGGATTTATCAAAATAGAACTACTTCATAGATGTGTTATGAGTGAGGATCAGATGAGTAAAGTATAGGTAGAAAAGTGCTCAGAATAGTGCCTGACACATTATAAGTTCCACGTAAGTGACATTATTGAAGGGTCTTTCAAACGTATCATTAACACATTTGAGTCAAGTTCTATATATGTGGTGTACACAACCTAAAGAACAAACTAACAAAAGGTCGGTAGAAATCTTACATATAGTCAATTTACTCACGGCACATCACCAATAACACTTCATGTCCTCTTCCATAACCTAAGCATTGCCATTGGGAAACTGAAATTTTCTGAGTCCCACTTATGAAGCAAGAAAGCAGCATAGATTGGGCAAAGATGTTACACGCACATGAATATGTTCCTCCTCCCACTCAACTTTTCCCTTGGCCCACTGCAGTCATTATTAAAGGATCAGGCACTCACGCCTGCAGAGCCAGGACAAAGCCACAGGCCCCTATTCAACTTTCTGTCCCAGACAGCCAGGATGGTGAAACCTCTCTGTAGAAGCTGGTCTTCATTATTACTGAGGTCCCTTCCTGCTTCAAGATTCTGAGTCTAAGATTATAATTAGGACTTGAAAATGTAGTTTCAGTTGATCTTTTTGGGAAATTAAAGCACCAGGATTTACTATGATTGCAGGAAAACTTGATCAACACTCAACAGACACAAAACCATCAGGTCTGCCTTCAAGACCATCTTGGCATTGAAAGTTTGCCCCTATCATATGTATGTGCTCCTCCAGATTGATTCATGAACAAGGAACATTTAACTTCTTGAATAATTTTACTGATGGAGGCTTCCTACCTTCTGAGATGGCACAATATATATTTGGATAAGTCTTTCTATTACAGAACCCTTTTATTGGAATCAATAGACCTCTGTTGCTCCTTAATCGACCTTCCAGATTAATATAAATTATGGTTGGATTCACTGAGTTACACATAGTTGTAGCCAGATCTTTGTTCTCTCTTATTTCTCATCATCAAATTAACCACTCACTGGCCTTTAAATGTTATTCTAATGGTACATGTATTTTTTTTAATTCTTCACTATTTTAGTTGTTCTATTTTGAATACCATTTAATGTGTTGATTATGTCCTCTAAAGCTCATAGTCCCTCTTGTCTATATTTGGTAAAGATCTTCTTTATTGTTTTTGTCTCATCATAACATGGACTGATTTGGGGAAGAACTGCTGCGTTGTCCATTTGGTTTCTTTTTGTTTGTTTGTTTGTCTGTTTGTTTAAGATGAAGTCTCGCTCTATTGCCCAGGTTGGAGTGCAGTGGTATGATCTTGGCTCCCTTCAACCTCTAACTCCTGGGTTCAAGTGATTCTCCTGCCTCAGCCTCCCAAGTAGCTGGGATAACAGGCGCACACCATCACGCCTAACTAATTCTTTGTATTTTTAGTAGAGACGGGGTTTCGCCATGTTGGCCAGGCTGGTCTCGAACTCCTGACCTTAAGTGATCCACCCTCCTTGGTCTCCCAAAATGCTGGGATTACAGACATGAGCCACCATGCCCAGCCCACTTGGTTTTTTAAAAGAACAATTCAAACAATTCAATGTTCCTAGTCTCCAGGAACATTTTTAAAATGTTTATCGAGAACTAAAGAAAACCATCTGTAGGAAACATGGGACTCATCTAGCAGAAGGGTCTACTGTGGTGAGTGCGGGCATTGAACAACATGGAAGCACCTAGCCCTTCACTAACACAAGGCTTTTCTAAGTTCAATGCTCACTTGTTGTGAACCATTGTGCTGGTTTATGATGGGGCTCCAGAACCGTTTATACTTAGTTCCTTTCTTCTCTTGGGAACTACCCCTAGACAAACGGTTGTTCATAAATAGAATTAACAATATCATGTACAAATAATTCATATGGATATTACTACTAGGTCTCTATTACTACTTCTACTACTGGTACCATTTATAATTAAGGAAGCTTTGACCAATGCCAGCTTTATATTAAGGGCTTTGTATTTATGTTTTTATTTAGTACATCAATTTTTTTAGATAAGTATTATTCAATTTTACCATAACACAAAAAAATAGACAAAACTAAGATTCAGATGTAAAACAAGTTTGTAATTTCACCCATCGTCATGTGGCAGGAGAAATGTTTTGGGCATTTTTTTTTTCTTTGCTGAGAAGGGGATATTGTTGAAAGTAAGGCTTTAAAATACTGGCAATTAACTCAAGGATGTAATGAAGTTTTATCTGACTTCAAAGTCTGAGCTCCACAGAGCCTGTATCCATTATAGTTACTTCCTTCTATAATGCCAGATTACTCAAAAGTACAAAAAAAAAAAAAAAAAAAAAAAAAAAACAGAGAAAAGATAAATGGCTTTAGGGCTAAGTGATGGAGTTATTGGGAGGTTCATGGTGCTTAACTAGCCAGTGGGTCCGGTGCAATTTAGACATTACTGAAATTTTAAAAACACATATGACAAAGGTGCCTGACTCTTTTCAAGGGAGCTGAGCTGTTTCATTTACTCTTTGTTCCTTTTGATGATGATCTTATCCTCATCTTCTCATCTCATTGAAAGACATCATTTCCCCAATCTGTGTTGCCACATAAAGCTCTGTGCACATGTTGTTTAGAAATCTTCAAAGTTTATGGATAATCACAGTCCCATACATTCATATATGCCTTCTGTATAATTATACTGACTTTGCGAGAATTCAGACTTAATCCAGGAATAGAAGAAAATCCTATGTGCAAAGATACATTTGCCAGGCATTCATATTGCAATTTTAATGAGTCTGGAAAAAAGTTTTACTGCTTAAAATATTTTCAACATGATTGAACCTAGGATTTTTCAAATGACATCAGTAAAGAAACAAGCAATTTTTTTGCACGTGTGTGTGTGTTTATTTGTGTCTCGTATCATTTGTGTGGTATTCGCAGTACTTTCTAAAATATTGTCTTATCTTTCCAAATAAATTGCAGGCAGAGACATCTAATGCGGTAATAGTTTTCACAATAAGCAAATTCTGGCATTACAACAGGAAATTCAGTTTTCCAATGACAAAGAGCTGCAGACCATTAAGATATGAGAGACAACTTCCGAAGAAGCTACTCCAAAGTTGGATAACTTGACTGGATTCCCCAGGCCAAAGGGGCATTTCCAGTGATCTTCAGTAGAATGATCCTAATCATGATGAAGGAATCGGCATCGTTAACTTATGTTGATGATGATATCAGGATAGACTTGGTGCTATTGATGAAGGCAATGAAAGAGAAGGCTGGAAGGGGCACCACTACCACATCTGACTAGCATACAAGAATCTCATCTGTATTACTGCCAAGTTCCCATATGAGTTTCTCTTTCAGAGAAGTGCTAATATATTAAATTTTTACACTGGTTTCCCATTAACTTCATCAATAAGAGAAAGCCAATCTTTAACGATGATTTCATTGCATGACCTAGTCCTGTTTTTTCACCAATGATTGTCACTTATTGGAGGCTCTGTATAATAAGACTAAGCTCAACATGCTGTTTGACTGACAAGTTATATAGAAGAGGAGTTTGATCCCTGACACTCAAAGGAACAAGAGCATGGAAAGACTGCGGTTTGTAATCACCAAAACTCGTGCTTAAGGCTCAGCTCTTTCACCACTCATTGGCCTGGAGAGCCACTCCGGAGCTCGGTTTACTCACTTGTGAGATCTGGAAATTATACCCATCTTTCAGGCTGGTTGTGATGATTAAGTGAAACCACCACTGTAATGTGTTCTGTTCTATGCCTGGCACATCATGATTCACTCTAAATGTCACCCTCCTCCTTTTCTCTAGAGGGTTTACTTTCCATGAATTTAAGGAAGAAAATAGATGCAGAAAAATGGAAAACAAAACACTGAAACATCTTAATTTTAATTATTAAAGCTATAAAATAATTTATATATAGATAGAAAACAAGAAAATCAAAACACGAGGATTATGCCAATGTATCAGAACAATGATTTTCAGAAAGACTGAAGTTCTTTGTAAAAGCATTGAAATTATACCTTATATTTGAAAACCCAATAAGAAATCAGATTATTGCTTTAAAGTACAAGTTCATAATATTCTTCATAAGAATTGAATAAGTGTGTGTGTGTGTGTGTGTGCGTGTGTGTGTGTGTCCATGCACGCATGCGGTTTGGTTCAGAGATTCAAGATGGCAGTCAACTTCTGAGCCAAGTGTCAGGCCATATTTAAATGGAACTACTGTCCAATACTGTGTTGAACCAAACAGATTTCATGATGGTTGCTCTAGTACAAACCTCTAATTTATTCCTTTTTTCTTCTTTTTTTTAAATTAATTTTAAGGACTGCTTCTTTGGTGTATGGTTGATGTCCTCTTGACAAACAGAATGTGGGGAATATTGGCCTGATATTCTGCTCTGATGTTATTTTGGGAACACAAATAGACACCACCCTCAACTTAGTGCCTAATAACTCTCCAGTAGCATAAGTATTTTCCAAAGAGTGATTATGTATGTACATATGTGTATACCTATATACAAGCCACACTAATAAAAAACCCAATATGCATATAAAGTAATAATACACATATATCTATGTCATAGGTTCAGACATAGATCTCCATATGTTATTATTATTTTTTATTAGTGCCACTTGACATGTAAGGAAGCTGGAAATCTCAGAACATCAGTGTATTGGCAAAGATCACACAACCGAACTAACTCATGATATTTTCATACACTGTTCTGCTTTGGATCTCTTTGAAAGATGATAACCTGCTGGCTGCCATTCAGTTTCAGCTCAGTTTATTCTATGACAGTTGTCTGTAACAGGCATGGTTTAATAAATCATAGATTTATTCACATGTAGTTGTAATAGCTTAAAAAATAATGCAACGTTTCCAATTTGATTAGCACCAATGAGATTACAGCCTGTGAATAAAGTAAATATACTTACATTTCCTTATGCATCAATTGTCTATCTTAACTTTAAGAAGCAGACATAACCAAAGTCCCTGTACCTATAGGTAGAACTGTACTAAATTCCTAACCCATTTGGAACTAAACCTGGCTATATAGCATCATTTTAATGCAAACGTCAATCACAAGGTAATGTAACACCACCCCTTGTGTTGAGTTCCTACTGTGTGAGACAAGTATTAGAAACTTACATCAATCACCTTTAACTCACAGTAAATAACTGTAAGGGAGGAAATGCAGTCTCTCTGTAAATTCCAGATGAAAATATTTAGGGGCCCACAGAGATTAACATTCTTACCAAAGGATGAGAAGTTAGTGGAGAAACAAGATTTAAATGCAGATACCTTGACTTCAAATCAAATGTATTCCATTTCCTTTACTGTATTCTTCTACATGTTTTAGTAAGCCAAATAAGGCCCATATTGATTGTCACAGTCCTATAGTTCCAAATCTGTATTCTCTCTCTCTCTTTTTTTTTTTTTTTTCAGTTGTTTTTTTACCTGGTCATCATCTGAGTTGCTTGAGAAGGTTAGCATTTTTCTCTATTTTACTGTTCCTTAGTAACAGACACAACTAATAATACACAAATAATCTTGCAATGCTAGGGGGAATTACTGTTTATAAGAAGCACATAATCTCCTCTAAAAACTGAATATTAATAAATGAAAATAACCATGACTCAATTTAGGTCAGATTTGTTTATATCCTGTTTATATGCTTCCTACAAAAAGAACATGACTATAGTCTATTTTTCATTCCTAAAAGAAATCTTAAATCTTGCAAATGTTCAAATGTTAAGATCTATTAAAAAATTGTTATGTCTGACAAAATCTTATAGTTAAATGTAAGTTGCATTTGGTGTTATTTAATTATCATTCAGGTGACCAGGAAATTCTACGGAGATGAGAGGAATATATAAAATGAAAATTAGAGACAGCTTTTAATATTGATTCCAAGTTAAATCTTAGTAAAGGATAATTTGGCTTTTTTGATACTAGAAGCAACAGTTTAGTTCAATCTCTATCCAAATAGAAATTTAATAGTGCTTATTTCATGCTCATATGGTCAGATTTTTGGTCTAATTTGTTTGTAATGAGTTAGAGTAACTGATATGCTAATCAATGTTAGTTAATTAAAAGTGGAGTTTCCATTTAGTTACAAAACACATTAGGGTGCTGAGCATATTGCATGCTAGATGACCTGATTCACACATTTGAACTTCTAAAATGAGAAGGAGTGGTAGAAAATCTTTTTGATGTGTTGCCAGAAGTGCCACTCAGATCCTTCTGGAAACAGATTTAGCCTGAGGATGAGAAGACTTGAATTCTAATCCTTGCTCCACTGCCTTTTTACCCTGAAGCTTGAGTATCATCTCTTAAATTCTCAAAAACTCATATTTCCAAGACCAAAAAATGGAATAGGATTAGATAATGTCTATGCACACTTTCTTGTGATTCCTTGTTCAAAATTCAAAAGTAAATGAGGGTGTTAACTCTCTGCTCAGCCATTTTCTAGCTCTGTAATTTTAGGCAAAATCCTCAATCTTTTTGATCTTTGTAATTGAGATGAAATGAGGAAAAGCATGGTACTCACACTGCATTCATGCTCAAATAAAGTTTACTGTGGTGATTAAAAAAAAGATAGAGTGTATGGACTTTACAAATACTATAAAATTATATCAAACTTCTAAAAATATAAGTAGATTTTAAAAAAAGAAAAAATCTATAAGTATAGGCACTGAAACATACTCTAGTGAAGCTTTCAGCAAACCCTTATTTACAGAGTTCCATTAGTAGGTGTTAATTAAACATGTATTTCATGTTTGACTAAGTTTTGGGAAAAGATCAGTTAAAACTATCAACAGAAATTAGAGACTCTTAGAGCTTTCAGAATATTAGCATGTACAGTGAATCTTCAAGACTATCCCCAGATATTTATTTTTGCTTCTTTGTTTTTTAACCTTATTGCAGGTAGGGAATGGAGGTTTGGAAATTGTACAGAACTAGTGTTCTATGGAATAAGCTTTAGGAAGCAATGAAGTGAAGAAAATAACTGAAGATTTGTATCATAGACACCTGGGTGGAATCTCACTCCTACCACTTAACTATGTCACTTAAATTAACCTTGTGTGACTGGGAGTGGTGAAGATAATTCCTATTTTGAAGATTATCCACCTTGGTTTGAAAGTGAGGAACAATATATGTAAAGCTATCAGCTTGGGATAAAGACTCAATAAATTGATGATGATGATAGGATTGATTCCAGGCACCCTAGCAAAGCATCACCTTCCTCCTGTGGAACCACAAAACCGAGGAATCTGTGCATCTTCTCCTGTTCACTATTTGAAATCCATTTGTTGTAAAACATCAAAGAGTGATTCCCATATGTGGAACATTGTGGAAGAAATCTGTTGTTGATTGCTTCCTCCTTGAAACAGAATTACGAGAAAACAGGATGGAAAGCTAAGGGGAGCTTGATGCCCCAGAAGAAGGAATCTGAAATAAGATTGAGGGGGTGGGCAGGATACACTTCCTGAGGTTAATGCTATTAGAAGTTAACTAATTTTTTCTGGAGGATGGATATCATTTGCAGTAAAGCATCTACCAACTGTTATAAAATATCAGGATATCTCGACCTGTCATTGAAACAAACCAATAAGAACAGGCCATTTCCTGCAGGGGGCATGATTAAAACCAGAGCCATTTTCACAGATAATCCATTTATAAATCATGGTAATAAAATGGCCATCATGACAGCAGCTCAGTGACATTTTTTTCACAAGCTCAGCCGTATCCAGGCAACCAACACATCTTAACTCAAATAAAAAGAAAGGCAGCCTGGGGTTCCAGGAGTCAAGGAGAAGATCCCACTGCCTGGTTCTCTTTTCCCATGAGGGAAGGTGATGGGCTAATGGCTATAGGAAATTTATATGACCCTAATTACTGCAGTTTGCTTTATGTGCATGTCTGAATCAACAGACATCAGGAATTTAGATGTTTCTCAACTCTTTTCTCATTCTAGGAACTGATAAGTGGGGAATTCTGAGGTCCATCTTTGATCCATATCTTATTTTGAGAGGTTCAACTGATCGGCAGGAACTGGAGAGAAGAATAATACATGGCAGAAATCCAGATACTCTCTATTCAGCTCTTTACGTGTGTAATTGAAAATCAACATTGTTTCTCATATTATTGAAAAAAAGTTTTAATATGCACCATTATAGCAACTATCATGAGTCATAATCTTAGAAAAGTGTGTCTCTTGTAGCCCAAATGAGAGACAAGAGTTCTCTTTGCACTCCTTTGGGACTTTTCCATGCAATTTATACATGCAAACTTTTGATGACTGAAACTACCTTGACTCAAAAGGGACTTAAATACTTAAAAATACATTTTACCAAAGACTATTCCCCTTTTTATGTAAAGCACTATAGCAAAGATAAATTTGTATAACTAACATTAATTAATTAATTAAATGACCTACTTTCATAGTAAAACCAAATATTATGGAATAAATTGCTAAACAGGAATTTGAAAATATTTATGTCTATGTATGTGTACATATGCATGTATGTTAAATTATATTCACCTAAACCATCTATCACTGGGACTAATAATCCTTACCCAGCAACATGAGATGATGGCAAAAGTACAAAGGGCAGACTACTATGTTCATGGAAACTTTTTGCTGGGATGTTAATGTTAGGAAAGCAGGAGCCTAGGAAAGCCAGAGTGCCACCATTTTAAAATCAACTCCATCTTAAAACTGGCAAGGCACAGTCTTTGCTAGTCATGACCCATAGTCCTAAGATGTTTTTACCTAAGGAGTCAGCTTGGTAATGCCTGTAAGGACAAACTCCTATAAAAACAGAAAGCCTAGATCTCTCAATAACCATAACAATATGTGCTTTCAAGATAATTACAGTTATACTTTAATATACTTACACACTAACACGTCACAGATAGTTTTATTTAAATCAATAGAATAATACATTTTGTCATGCTGTCAGCCCACCCACATGTAGGCACAGCTTAGTTTATTCTTTACATAGGTAAGACTCCTGTGTAAGAAAAACTTCAAGCAAAGATAGTGAATTCCTCCACTTGCTTTCTGAGGACACTCTACTCAGTAATGGAATAGCTTTCAAGAAACTGTCTCTTCTTACTGTGAAGCATTCCTCTTCTTGTGTTCTGAGTATGCCCTGCTCTGTAATAGGGTAGCTTTCTACGAACCTTCTCTTCTCTCTTTGACTCACCTTGAATTCCTGTCTGCAAGAACACACTCCTGAGGTCTGCATCAAGACCCCTTTTCTGATTACATTAATATTAGCATTATTGTTATGGCAGATGCTGTCAGGGCTCTGCCTATGTTCCTATGATTCCTTTTACACTGTTTTCATGGTCAGTTCCATGTATACCTTTACTCTCAACAGCTAGCACGTGTGCTTCTTAGCAGGCAGTCTTCCCTCAGGCTATCAGTAGCTAACTTGCCTTAATACATGGAGACCTTCAAATTTCTGGGGCAGCCCTCAAACAATGAGTGATGGATATAGCCAGTTATCTTGCCATCTGTTTGGAATAATTCCAATATTTTCAGGGAGCTAGTTTACCTGCAAACCTGTGTAGAATCCATGCTGTCTCCAGAGATCACGTGTGGGGCTGAGCCAACATTTACCTCCCTGGCACATTGTTTGATATCACACTCTTGTGGGGCCTTCTTTTCTTCCCACATTCCCTATCTCTTATCATTTTAAAAAAATCGATTATTGATTTATTTGTATTCACATGGATCCTTTTCCTGATACCCACTTCTAAGGAACCAAACTTAATATACCTGGAAAAAGGTGAATGTGTTTAGGACCTGAATGGGGATTGAACTTAAGAGAGGTTGGGATAAAGGACTGGTCATGCATCGGACTTAGGAATCATTAAATAGCTACAAATGTAGTCCAGGTGAAAGTATCCCGCAAGAGATATCTAGATGGACAAAGATCATAAAATAGATAGAAATAACCATCCTGATTAAAGTGTAAGTAAATAATTCAAAATTCACAGTGGTCAAAATATTTAGAATTGATTGAGGCTAAGTTTGTGTTAGGTTCTGTATTATGCTATGGTAAGAGCTTTTATACATTCTCCCTCTCATTCAGCATATACAGCATTGAGGTAGGAACAATTATTTTTTTTCCATTTTACAGATGTGGAAACAATGGCTTAACAATGTTTAGCAACTTACCAACGTTCACATAGTTGTGGACTTGAGATTTGTGCCTATATCAGTCAGGCTCCAAACATTATATGCTTAACTACTGTACTGTAAGATCTGCTTACCAGCCGAAAGTAGTTCCTGAAGAAGAATCAAAACAGATAACTTTAGAGACATGGCTGATACGATCAAGTTGATTTGATAACAGCTTGCAGCAAACTCTGCATTTTAATACACATCTCTGTGTCTCTTGCATGTGTCTTTGAGTGCATGGAGACAGAGTAAGCAGGGTTAATATCCGTTGTTGTAGAAGTCTGTTGTGCTTTGCTCTCAGTAAGTGTTCCCCCCACCCACCCCTACTTTCCTACCTTCTAAGCCTCTGCAATGCTAAGTGCCATATTCAAGGTCACAGAGCTAATAAAAGCAAGTTTGTTTTCTGACTCTTAGCCTGAGTAGATTTCTTTCCAACAATATCAGGCTAATTTATTGTCTCATACCCAAATTCTGGGCAAAGTCAGAACTGGTTTAGAATTAGACGGCTATCCAAACATAAGTTTCCGGTGGAGTTGCCAAAACCAACCCTCTATAAACCTCAACTTTCTAAAGGAATGTTGAGAGTCAGCTTTCCTCATCATCTGCCTACCAGCCCTCTGCCCTTTGGACTCAGCTTTATTTAGAAATGCTGATTTAGAGTGCTTTGAGTAAATATTAGCTGAAAAATTATTAATAAGTACTTCTCAGGCTCAAGTGTAATAGGCCCCATAGAAGACTCAAAATTGTTTACTCAACAAATTTAAATGTGTCATAAATGAAGTAATTGCTTTCCCTGGATGCTCTGCCAGGTTGGTGGCTTCATCCGTACACTGAAGATTGAGAATATGAAGGAAAGAGGCTATAGAGCTGCGTGTGTGCTTTGTTATCTCTCAGTGCATCCACAGACAGGGAGGTATTAGCGTCAATAATTTATAGAAGGAAGTAAGGTCAGGAATATACTTTTTGAGCTCTGTTCACAGCCAGAGGATGAAAAGTAACTTGTGCACAATTGGTCATCCTAGGCAACAGCATTTCTCCATTTGTGAGATATTATTGTGACAACTCCCATTACCCCTCTGCCATTTTAATTTCCTGACATGCAAGATCATTTAAACTCCATTTCCATATGAATTTGCCCAAATGTTAACCCTTGATTACAGCTGATTTTCTTCCACTAGTGGGTTGACCATTTGCCTGTTTGCTTTCAGGTCTGCTTTTTTTTTTTTTTTTTTTCAGACTGGTGAATCTTAAGTTTTACTGTGCCCACAAGTTCTGATTCAGTAAGTCTGAGAGGGGGTCTGAGATTGCATGCATAACAGTGCTCCCAGGTGTCACCGATGCTACTGGTCTGTGCACCATGCTTAACCACGCTGAGCAGCCAGAATCCGAACCAGTTCTCAAAGCGTGGCCCCACAACCAGAAACATTGGTATTACCTGGTGGGATCATCTGCATTTCAGATGATCATTCCAGTTCATTCCAGACCCACTGCCTCAGATGATCTGTGTTTGGTGTGTGTGTGTGTGTGTGTGTGTGTGTGTGAGAGAGAGAGTTGTGTTTGAGAGAGAGTCTTGCTATGTTTCCCAGGCTGATCTTGAACTCCTGGGCTCAAGCGATTCTCCCTTCTCAGCCTCCAAAGTAGCTGGGATTACAGGCACTTGTCAGCATGCCCAGCTTATAGATCTGCTCTTTTCTTTCCCATTGCTCTGCTCTGATCCTTGCAATGTGTACTAATTTTTTTCCTTATTGATAAAACTGATTTCAGCTATTTTTCTTTTTATCAGAGTAGGAATGTGTAGTTATTCTTAACATTGGTGCCTCCCTTAAATGAGCATAGCAGAATGTCTATTCTCATAAAATGCATTATAATCTTATTTTGAGGATATTTAACCTTCATTTCTATAGACCTTTACAATGAGCTTCTATCCTTCATGTGCAAAAGTGTGACTTCTTGAGGGGTTGCCAACACGTATCAGCAAGACCTCACTTATCCAAGAAGAATCCTCAAGGATGAAGAGTTGAACCCTGAGCAGCCAAGAGAGATGTCCAAGGGCTACTCTAAGAGCCCAGGGACTCACCCATGAAGGCCCCCTTAGGCCTGAACTCAGATTCTGCTCTTCCTTTCTGTGAATGTAGATACCTGATTTCACAGCAGATAAAGAAAGAACAAATGGGAATACCAGCATCCACTGACACACAGTAATAATACTGATGGTTGATGGTGAGGAAAGTAACCGGAAGCAAAACCGAAATTGAAATATAATTATCCTAGGGTAAAATAAATTAGGGCTCTTGGTATAAGATAAAACAAAGCTGCTCATAAAAATTAACTGTAATTCAGTATCAAAATACGGACAAAGAGAAGGTCAGTAGCATATATGTTTATGTCTCTGTATGCCAGGAATCATCTTAGGCGTTAAATATACATTATTGCAAGATGGAAATACTGATAAAACTGTTAGTTAGATAGTATGCTCACGATTTTACGGTTAAGGAAAAACAGGCCCTTAACCCAAATTCCTTCACTGCTGTCACATGTCTGTGACAAGAGTAAGTGCAGAGGTGTGAAAACTTAGCCAGCCTCACTCAAAATCCCTTGGCCTAGCCATGGTCCAAGCTGTGAAGTTGTTGTTTATAGTCATGAACCTCAATTTTTTTTTAAGAAACAGTTTTTTCTAAATATGCCCATTATAAGAAAGTGATTAAGCATCTAATATATTGTAGAAAAAAATCCACTTACCATGAAGAAAAAAAAAATGCTTTGGCAAATGACTATTAAAAGCTTTATAAATCCAGGAAAGAAAAAAAAAAAAGAAAAAAGCTGATGTGAAACAGCTCAGATGCAGGCAGATCTACTGAACCTGACTGCACTTCATGAGGTTACACAATATCTATTTGTTCTTGGTGACCATTTATAAACCAAGTGGATAAACCCTGGCTTTTCTCTCCCTCTCTCTCCAGAAATATCCACATTGTCTAGGACGGCCAGACTCAGAGCAGCTTCAGACATATAAATACCAATCGCTTCCTCTGCTGGTGAATGGAATTTAATCAGACTAGCAAGCTAAACCAAAGTCACACAAAGGGTAACATTTGACGCGCTTAACAAGAAACCTTTATGCAACTGTTCCCATCAGTCAGACCTAGAATAATACGGTGCTATTTTTACTTCATCTTGGCTTTCCGCAGAAAACTTTAAAAGGCTTATGATGAGTGCCGACTGTCAATAGATGGTCTCCCACCCCGTGTCAGGACTCATTGCTGTGTCCACTAGACCTAAGAAAACATCGATACTGCTGTTCAAAACAACTCTATATTTATTTCCTTTTCTGATGAAGTAACAGCTGAGAGCACTACAGCTTACTGACCTGCTTTTCTTCTTCTCTTTATCCTCTGCTATCAAGTGAGAGCCTCCAGCCTCATCAGAAAGTGCGATGTTTATTTATTAATTCAATATTTGTTGCTCATTTATTCCACATCCATTGTAGTGTTTGGCTGTGGGGATAATAGGAACGAGATACAGACACACCTTTAAGAAGCTTGCAAAAGAGAGGGAGAGAGTAAATTTACACAAAATTCTAACAATTATCTGACTCCTCCTGATTCCTCAGTGACCAATCATTGAGCCTCTTAATGTCCTTAGAGTATCACTTTAATCTACTTATTTATTCTTATACCTTCTGGTCTGGGATGTGATCAATCCACACCTGGCCTGTGGCCATCATTCTTAACATTTTTTTTTTTTTGGTTTCTTGGTTTTATTAAAATTTTAATTGAATTATAAAATACACAATGAAAGGGCAAAAATTACAATTGTGCAACTCAACGAATCTTCATAATGTAAATTCCCATGTATACCACTTCTCCCTGGATCAAGAAATGGAACATCACCAGTATCCCGAAGCCACCTCCCCAAGGTATTCCCATTCTCCTCCTCAAAGACAACCAGTTTCTGAATTCAAACACTAAAGGCCTACATTGAAAATTTATATAAATGAAATCACGCAGTATGTATTCTTGTACATTTGGCTCGTTTGTTTAATGTCTTGTTTGTCCTAGTCCTCAATGTTGTGTGTAGCAGTAATTTGTTTATTCTTATTGCTACAAAGTATTCCATTATATGAATATGACATAATTCATTATTTAATCCACTTTGGATGAACATTTGGTTTGGTTTTAGGTTGGAGATACTACAAACAGTGTTGCTATCAATTTCAAATGTTTCAAATATCAAATGTTGCACATCTGTTTTGGTGCAAATATTCATGCATTTATGTTGGGTAATGTACCTAGGAATGGGATTAATGAGTCACCTGGTTGCCTGCATGTTCAGCTTTAATAGTACAGACAGTCAGTGTCGAGTCTTTATATGCATATTAGCAGCTCAGGAGAGATTTTAACAGGCATCCATGCTCCACAGATGATCTTTTTTACTCATTTTACAAAATGCAAATAAGATCATGCGATGCCCCTGTTTAATACCTTTTAATAGCTGCTCATCGACCTTTGGAAAATACTCAAAATCACAGATTCCTGCAGGATCTGGTCTCACATACTTTTCCAGATGAATTATGCACATCTCTGCCCCTGATGTTCTTCACTCCAACTATACTGAACTCCTCTCAGTTTCACATGTGTACTTCATTTTCACCCACTGAAACTTAACTCCTCTGAAATGTTTGCCCAGACCCACCTATTGTATATTGCTGCTGGAGCGCAGTGGTGCAATCTCAGCTCACTGCAACCTCTGCATCCCGGGTTCAAGTGATCCTCGTCTCAGCCTCCCTAGTAGCTGGAATTACCGGTGTGTACCACCACTCCTGGCTAATTTTTGTATTTTTAGTAGAGATGGGGTTTCACCATGTTGGCCAGGCTAGTCTCAAACCCCTGACCTCAGGTGATCTGCCTGCCTCAGCCTCCCAAACTGCTGGGATTACGGGCATAAGCCACCACGCCCGGTCATAAATTTCATTCATTACACAGGTCAGTGCTAGAAACAGCATCATTTTCTCATGTGTTTGTCTTCCCGACTAGAATTTAAGTTCCAAAAGAACGTGTGCACTCTGCCTTCCTCACTAGAATTTCAGTACCAAATGAGTTAAAATTTCCTAACTTGTTCTCTTCTGAGTTTCCACTGTCTCCAAAAGTACTCAGCATCAATTGGGCATTCAATCAATGTCTGTTGAATAGATAAAAAAATGCATGAAGGAGAGTTAGCATATTTTTTTCTCTCCTCAAATTGATTGTCTCCTCTTTCAATAACTGGATAACTTGTACTTATCCTTGAGGTCTCAGCTTAAACATCATTTCCAGAGGGACACCTTTTTTTTTTTTTTTTTTTTTTGACTGGCCAAGCTAAGTTTTACACTCTTGTGTATAATATACAACTTTTCTTAAGCTTTAGCTTCCTGGCATTTACTCTTAAAAGATCAGTTGATGATCTTTGTGTATTAACAAGTTGATGATTTGTATTTTTTTTGTTTATGGTTCATATTGTCCCTTAACTTATATGTTCTAGGAGTATCTGGATGTCTGTTTTGTTCACCGCTGTTTCCCTTATGCCTAGCACAGTACTGCAGGTACATTGCAGACTTCTTAATGCACAAAGGCAAAAACTAAAATATCGAAGAGCAGATCAAAAAAGTATTGTCCAAGAGCTTTCACAAGGCAAAGAATCTTGTGCATAACTAAAGAAGACATATTCAGGGTCAAGTAGGTGAGAATTGGGACATATTCACAAAGGCTATAGTAAATATTCTAAGTTTTAAATATCATAAGAGAATTTGATAGCCACCCAGATACATGAAGACAGAAAACAGCCCTTGTAAAGCAGCAATAGAGAAATGTCTATTTAGATCTTTTGCCCATTTTTAATCAGATTATTTTTTCCTACTGCATTGTTTGAGCTTCTTATATATTCTGGTTGTTAATCCTTTGTCAGATGGATAGTTTGTAAATATTTTCTCCCATTTTGTGGGTTGTTTCTTCACTTCATTGATTGTTTCCTCTGTTATGCTGAAGCTTTTTAGCTTGATGTGGTTGCATTTGTCCATTTTTACTTTGGTTGCCTGTGCTTTTGAAGGCTTACTCAAGAAATCTTTGCCCAGACCGATAGCCTGAAGTGTTTCTCCAATGTTTTATTCTAGAAGTTTTATAGTTTCACATCTTGGATTTATGTTACGTCTTTAATGCATTTCAATTTGATTTCTTATGTGGTGAGAGATAGGAATCTAGTTTCATTTTTCTGCATTTGGATATCCAGTTTTCTTAGCACAATTTTTTGAAGAGACTGTCCTTTCCTCCTTTCCTCAGTGTATGTTCTTGGCAACTTTGTTGAAAATGAATTCACTGCAAATACCTGAATTTACTTCAGGATTTTCTATTTTCTTCCATTGGTCTGTATGTATAGTTTTTATGCCAGTAACGTGTTGTTTTGTTTAATATAGCTTTGTATTAGAATTTGAAATCAGGTAATGTGATATCTTCAGCTTTGTCCTTTTTGCTCAGAATTGCTTGAGCTGTTCTGGGTCTTTTGTGATTCCATGTGCATTTTATAATATTTTTTCTATTTCTGTAAAAATTATATTTGTTATTTTGATAGGTATTGCATTGATTCTGTAGATTTATTTGGGTAATATTGACATTTTAACAATACTAATTCTTCCTATCCATAAACATGGGATATCTTTCAATTTATTGTCCCCACTTCAATTTCTTGTCCCCACTTCAATTTCTTTTATTAATGTTTACAGTTTTAAATGTAGAGATTTTTCACGTCTTTGGTTAAGTTTAATTCTAAGAATTTTATTTTATTTGTAGCCATTGTAGATGGAATTGCCTTCGTCATTTCTTTTTCAGACTGTTTGCTATTGACATACAGAAATGCTACTAATTTTTGTATTAGAATTTTATATCCACAATTTTACTGAATTTGTTTATCAGTTCTAATAGTTTCTAGGTAGACTCTTTAGGTTTTTCTAAATATAAAATCATATTATCTGCCACCAAGGATAATTTCACTTTCCTTTCCAGTTTGGATGCCCTTTATTTCTTTTATTGCTTCGTGTGTGTGAGTGTGTGTGTGTGTGTGTGTGTGTGTGTGTGTGTGTGTGTGTGTGTATAATTGCTCTGGCTAGAACTTCCAGTGCTTCTATTTTTCTTACCATAAAAAACATTTTCTTTAAAGACCTCCTTTTGTCATTATCCCATCCAGCAGCACTAACAGTATTAAATAATTTTCAAAAATCGATATTGAAATGTATGTACCCTCAAAACACCAATTCATAAAAAATAAGATATGTTTCAAAATGGATAATTGGGATGGTGGAAAATGACTTAGGAATTTTTTTTTAAAAGATGAAAGGGTATTGGGAAACGATACATATACATACACACACAGAGAGGCACACACACAGGTTTCTTTTCACACCTCAAGCCACTTTTATGGGAGGATAAATAATATTAACTGATATTTACTGAGTGTTTACATAACATGTATTCTTCTAAGGCTATCTCTATTTACCTATCTGGCTACCGTGTAGGGACATAAATTTTGCCTAAGCAGACTTATTAATCCAGTTAATTAATTGAGATAAATTTGACTCAATTAACTGCCATTTGGCCTGGAATATTTTTTTTCTTTTCTTGCTGATCATAAACGTCATCATTACTAAACTGCCACTAAATTTAATTGAACATTTATTATATGTTAAAGTATTCTGCTGGCACCCAGGGAGAGAAATCAAGTCCAGGGGGTGCCATAACATGACTCTAGCAGATAATCAGGGCAACGGCGATGATGATGATGATATGGGGCTTCAAGACAGACCTACAAAAGTAGAGGAGAGGACATCTCTACCAGACAGAGCAAGTGATTATGGCTGAAAAAGAGACAAGCTCTTCTTCAAGAAATCACTTAAACATCGGCATTACATCTCAAGCAAGTGGAGACAATCAGACTGTCTTTCTGGGAAATTTGGAATTATGACTGGGAGCCTGTAAATAAGTTTGGTTTTACTTGCATAATAGAAACAATTTAACCTAGAAAATACGTGTTTTGGACATGAAGCAACCAAGACAAACAGTTTGTACAAAGGAGAACATACCACAGATTTAGAGATAAGCATAGAAGAGGAGAATAAAGATTTAGGATTTCCTGGGCTCTTTGTGGCTTTTCTAATTCCAGTTCTGAAGAGGTCCTAGATATCTTCCAAAGACATCCCAACAGCTAACCAATAAGTGATATTCCATATAATTTCCCATATATCATGACATCTTTATTAGGAAATTGTGTTTTAATGTATCTGTGAAAGTCCTTTATGATTCTCATAGATAATGGTAGAAAAACTGTCAGAAATGTTTGTTAAATGAATAGACAAGAGAGAGAATGAGAAAGGAGAGAGAGAGAAGGAAAGAAGGGGATAAAGAATTGAGAAGAGTGCTACTAACCAGGCTAAGATTATGGAATAAGAAAGATTTTATAGACTCAAAATTATCCTGGTAGTCAACAGTCCATTCCAATAAGCCAGCGTCTAATAATCAAAACTGACTCCCCAGATTCCACATAGGAGGCAGCAACTTAATCTTAATCCCTGTATATTCATAAAAGGGGTGAGAGTAAGTTTAAAGTATTGAATATCTTCCTCCCCCTGCCAGCATTGTCCCAAGGAGCAAGTGGTTCTGAGCCAGCAGGGAGAGCTGGAGTACAGCCCACAGCAAACAGCTGTGGAAGCTAGAGAAAGGCAAACCAAGGTAGATCTGTATTTCCAGCTGGGTTAAAGAGTTCTTTATTCCAACATTAGAACCAGAACTTTACCAATTTAATAGACTTTTTTTTTCTCTGTCTCTCTTCCTCTTCCACTTTTCCTCCAACAAAGATCAAGAGTCAAAGAAACATCAAACAAGCTTACTGCAGACAACCCAAATAAATAAGCTCTTCTTTTGAGAACAGCATCTTTTGTTGTCTGTCAGAAAATAGCTCTCAAGACAGGGTGTACAAATTGGCCTTTGGAAGCTCTGTGCTCTCTCTGGAGCTCACCTTCATTTTTGAATGTTTAGTCTAGCATTTGTGACAAGCTGTGTCTTGCAAGAGGAATCTAGATTTACTTCTGCCCTGAAAATGGGAAACAGGAACTGTTGATATCATAACCTCTTTGCAAGACAGGCCTAAAAATGCGTAATCCATTTTTATGCTTAGCACAAGCTGCAAATGACCATTTTAAAGAATCTACATAAAAAGTTTAAGAATCCAATGGTATTCTATAGAATTAATGTCCAATGTGTGAAAATGATCTTACAATCCACCTCATAATATACTATCTCTATACAATTTAGCAAAGCTCCTCTCTACTCTTCCCTTCTTGTCTTACACACACACACACACACACACACACACACACACACACACACACAACAGTTCAGGTCCACTGATAACCAAACTGACAGAAAATTGTTTGTCTGTAGTTTGCATAAAATTGGTGTTCTGTATCAGTGTCCCTCATTTCATCTAAAGAAGCTGAAAGGATGTAAACCTATTAAATGTGCACATAACCAAAAATTCTAATGAGATATATTAGATTTTGAGTTACTCTAAAGATGACTGAAAACACTGACTCAGAAGCCAGACCACCTGTGTTCAATTTGAGCAATGCTTTGGCTCTGCCACTAATAGGGTCTGAAATGTTGGACAGGACACTACTTCACTGTACTCCAGTTTTCGGATCTGTTTCACTTGTTAATATATACAACTACTTAGAATAGTTCCTGACACTGTTTTGTCTTTAAGTATTTTGAGTAATTTGATATTATAAATATTAGTTATTATTATTGGCTAAGATAGAAGAAAGAAACTACATCCACACCTTTCAATCTTTTCATGATTGTCTTTTGGTAACTCAAAACACAACTTTCAGAAATTTTTTTTAAAAATTTTAAAGTTCTGTTCCTTGTAGTAACTCTTTTTGGAGACACATACCGTACAATGAAACCACTGTATGGTTTAAAGTGAGAAAGGTTTAAAAGAAAAAAGAAATCTGCCTTTTCAAGTCACATGGGTGCCTAGTGTGGTGGGCATTTTGGAAGGGAATGAGACAGAGCCCTATTTAAATGCTTTGCCATGGTCCAAGCTAAGATGACAAGCCTGAATCACTGTTTCTCAAAGTGAGGGATCCATACCACTGGTGAGGCATAGAATGAGTTACAGGGTGCAAAATAGGTTAAAATTATCACCATTCACGTGATGAGGTCCTTTTTTCAGTGCTATTTCAGTCCTGATTACATGGAAGAGAAGGTCACAGTTTGATCATGGCTGTTAACACCTCTCTAAAATTTGCTAATCCCCTTCTCAGCAGTTAGAGGTGACCTCTACATAATGGCTTCCAGGCAGAATTAGACAACTCCTTTTGTTTTTCATTGTAATTACTTTAACTTTATCTTCTTTTTCCATCCTGAGGTAGTTTTTCATTCCTGGATTATTTCTTTCAAAATAAATCCAATTATGTTTGTGATTTTAGATAAATATGTTAGCTGAATAATTTAGATGTAATATGGGAACAGAATATAAAAGATAGGGTAGTCAATATCCTAAACCAGCTGTGCACTGGAGAGCAGAAATTAGGAACAGATTAGAAAAATGTTTAGATGGTAGAATAAGCAGATATGGGTAACTTGCTTTGAAAGGAAATAGCTACAAATGGTCAAGTGGGCAAGTGATTATAAGCCTCAAGTAAACCTTTAGGTGATGCAAAGTATCTGAAGAGTTATCTACCTGATTAACTCTGGCATTTCCTGAAGGTGGGAAGTCCATTAGAGAAATAACTAATGAAGCTGAACTCCATTCCTTAATCCATTTCCTGCCAAATGTGGTCTCTGAACAATTCTATGTTTTCTTGGTAGTTTTTTGGGTAGTTCCTCAAATCAATGCTCTTCTAAAGGGTTTAAATAGTCATTGTTAATGGTCCTCATTCAAAATGACGCCATTTGTCAGATTATTATTTTTTTTTTAATTATACTTTAAGTTCTGGGATACATGCACAAAATGTGCAGGTTTATTACATATGTAATAGGTTTATTACATACACATATACATGTGCCATGGTGGTTTGCTGCACCCATCAACCGGTCATCTACATTAGGTATTTCTCCTAATGCTATCCCTCCCCAACCCCTCATCCCTTGACAGTCCCCATTGTGTGATGTTCCCTTCCCAGTGTCCATGTGTTCTCATTGTTCAACTTTCACTTATGAGTGAGAACATGCGGTGCTTGGTTTTCTGTTCCTGTGTTAGTTTGCTGAGGATGATGGTTTCCAGCTTCATCCATGTCCCTGCAAAGGACATGAACTCATCTTTTTTATGGCTGCATAGTATTCCGTGGTGTATATGTGCCACATTTTCTTTATTCAGTCTATCATTGATGGGCATTTGGGTTGGTTTCAAGTCTTTGCTATTGTGAACAGTGCTGCAATAAACATATATGTGCATGTGTCTTTGTAGTAGAATGATTTACAATCTTTTAGGTATATACTCAGTAATGGGATTGCTGGGTCAAATGGTATTTCTAGTTCTAGATCCTTGAAGAATCGCCACACTGTTTTCCACAATGGTTGAACTAATTTACACTCCCACCAACAATTTAAAAGCATTCCTATTTCTCCCCATCCTCTCCAGCATCTGTTGTTTCCTGACTTTTTAATGATCACCATTCTAACTGGGGTGAGATGTTATCTTATTGTGGTTTTGATTTGCATTTCTCTGATGACCAGTAATGATGAGCTTTTTTTCATGTTTGTTGGCCACATAAATGTCTTCTTTTGAGAAGTGTCTGTTTATATCCTTTGCCCACTTTTTGATGGGGTTGTTTGTTTTTTTCTTGTAAATTTGTTTAAAGTTCATTGTGGATTCTTGATATTAGCCCTTTGTCAGATGGACAGATTGCAACATTTTTCTCCCATTCTGTAGGTTGCCTGTTCACTCATGACAGTTTGTTTTGCTGTGCAGGAGCTCTTTAGTTTAATTATATCTCATTTGTCAATTTTGGCTTTTGTTGCCATTGCTTTTGGTGTTTTAGTCATGAAGTCTTTGCCCATGCCTATGTCCTAAATTGTATTGCCTAGGTTTTCTTCTAGGGTTTTTAAGGTTTTAGGTCTTATGTTCAAGTCTTTAATCCATCTTGAGTTAATTTTTATATAAGGTGTAAAGAAGTGATCCAGTTTCACCTTCCTGCATATGGCTAGCCAGTTTTCCCAACACCATTTATTAAATAGGGAATCCTTTCCTCATTGCTTGTTCGTGTCAGGTTTGTCAAAGATCAGATGGTTGTAGATGTGTGGCATTATTTCTGAGGCCTCTGTTCTGTTCCATTGGTCTATATATCTGTTTTGGATTGTGTATTTAGAAAACCCCATCATCTCAGCCCAAAATCTCCTTAAGCTGATAAGCAACTTCAGCAAAGTCTCAGGATACAAGATCAATGTGCAAAAACCACAGGCATTCCTATACACCACAATTCATAATTGCTACAAAGAGAATAAAATACCTAGGAATACAACTTACAAGGGACATGAAGGACCTCTTTCAGGAGAACTACTAACCACTGCTCAAGGAAATAAGAGAGGACACAAACAAATGGAAAAACATTCCATGCTCATGGATAGGAGGAAAGGTGAAAAAGGCCATACTGCCCAAAGTATTTATAGAGTCAATGCTATCCTCATCAAGCTACAATTGACTTTCTTGAGAATTAAAAAAAAAAACTACTTTAAATTTCATGTGGAACCAAAAAAGAGACCACATAAGCAAGACAATCCTAAGCAAAAAGAACAAAGCTGGAGGCATCACGCTACCTGACTTCAAACTATATTACAAGCCTACAGTAAACAAAACAGCATGGTATTGTCAGATTATTTAACTAGGGTATTGTTAAATAATAGAAGGTTTCTAATGAGGTTAAAAAAATATCCAAGGAACCTGATACTTAATCACCCAAAAGTGCAACTTGTGGTTCAACAGAACATTATCAGTATACCTTGCGAAGAATTTCTGGTATTTCTCCTGTCTCTTCGTTGCTGGAGTAACATGGCTTATTTTCGGCAATTATCAGACTTGATTAGCAATGTCATTTATGAACAGTGGTGACTTAGGACTAAGAGGGATGTATAAAACAAAACATGATCCTTTTGGGTTTTAATTTTCACAGAAAAATAGTATTTGTTATTTGTTCCATATCCATGACAGAGTAGTTGGGAATATCTAACAAAATCACTTGGAAAAAATATTCCCCAGTAATTTTGGTGAAAATAAACCAAAGAGGATTTTCTGTCACTTGGTGTTTACTCTATAAGGTTTCAGGTTCATAAGAAATCATGCTAATGTGTAGTGAAGTCCACAATCGCCAACTGAAATGCTTTCTTCTTGGAAAGCCTTTTTTTGACCCTCAAGATGGTGAATCAAACCTTCCTTTTCACTCGTAGCCATCTGCATTTGTCTGTAGAGTGAAGCCCAGTCGGGACACTATTGACATATGGGGCTGGATTACTATTTGTTGTGGAGGGCTGTCCTATAGACTGTAGGGCATTTAGCAGCATTGCTGTCTTTTACCTACTCAGTGCTGGTAACACTCCTCCGGTCTGATAATCAAACATGGCTCCAGACACTACTAAATGTACCCAGGTAGGGCCATATAGTACATGGTTGAGATCCACTACTATTAAGTTATGTGACACTTCCCTTACTGCAGTGAAGTTTGCTTTTATGTCTGTGTACTTTAGTAGATTCAAAATAATGTATATGGCACTGAGCTCTATGCATAGTGGTTGCTCTTTTGTTTTTCTGGATGACATATACTATACGGATAAGCACTGTGTCCTATTCATCTCCTCCCTACATTTCAAGAACTCAGAGAAGGGTTGGCGTATAGAAGTCCTAAAAAAATTTTTCAGGGATTAAATAATGAATGGTTCTTTTAAAGGCAGCACCTAAGTAATGTTCAAGTCTGCATTTCCTGTATCAAATGCAAGGTAGGAAATATAGGAGATTCTCAATGAATGGGTGGAGGCTGAATCAGTGAATGAATGGATAGAAGGAAGAATTGAGAAAGGCAGCTTCACATTCACATGGCCAGACATCTTCACGTAGGTGCATCCCTAATCTTCCGCTGGAGTTACTATGACTACAAACATCTCAGCTGCCAACTTGCTGCCTGAAACCTTAAACAAGATTCCAGGTGAGGAAGTGTCCTTGGCAGGGACCCAACAGACCAGCAGCAGTTCACAGGAGGAAATTTGCACAAAACTAAGCAAAAATCAGATTCATCCTAGCTGAACTAATCAGTGACTAGAAAAAAAAAAAATCATTGCAAGTCGCTGTGGTTGGGCAGGGCAGGGATAGAAATGACTAAAACCAGTCAATGCCAGAAAGTTTCACATAGAAAGTTACAAGAACCAGAACAGGTATTCACAGAGCCATTGCTTCTAGAAAGCCCTACAACAGGCCTCTCTGTTGAATCAGGGGCGGAACATTTTAGCTCTAAAGTGTATCTTGAGAGAGATGCATATATTTGACTCCACAGAGGTTTTCCTTTTTATTCCTCTCTTGAAGGGAAATCTGACACTACTGAATGGAGTGGGATTCGGCTTGGAGCTTTATAAACCTCAGGAGATTTGATGGTCTGCATTGAAGAGAAGGGGTCAGAATCTCCAGAAGAGGATCTTCTACCACTATCTACTCAGCCTCAAGTTGATTTGGGATTGAGAGCATTTCTTTCACATCTCTGTTCAAGAAAGTTTTAATGCTGAGACTTCCTTCTCCACTGCTAAGCTAAATCATACTCAAAACTTAAGATATCTCTTAAACCAAATACTCTAAGACACATCCCCTGTACTCATAGCACCTCTAATATCTAATGATTTTATTTGTCTTTATATTTGTTGCTTTTATTAGATTTAAATTCCTAAAGACAGAAATAGAGTCATCATTATCATTATCATCACCATCATCATCAAATAGGAGGAGGAGAAAAAATAAACTCCATGATTTGATAAACCCAGTCAATGTGCTTAGCATTTTAAAAAATCACATTTAATTATCAGCACAAATATTGAATTAGATCCAGCTAGGTATTCTTTTTTCTTTGCTACCTCCTATGGGGTCTGGCATGGTGGTGATCATTGTATAGTCTTACATTGAATTTATATAAAGGGAAATGGAAGGAGAGGGTTCAAGAACAGACTAAGGACCATCGATTGGGGCCCAGTGTTTTCTAATCAACACTGGACCTGAATTTGAACTTCAGCTTTTTTAACCTATTTGGGAATTTACTTAATTATCTGAGTCTTTATTTTCTATATTAAAGATTACTGATCATGAAATTTATCAAACAGAATGGCTGAGAGAATGAGGTACGTAGTAAGCATTTAGTTTTATCTATAATTAATACTTTTTTTTTTTTTGGCGTGATCTTGGATCACTGCAACCTTCGTGATCCGAGAACCTCCGTGATCTCTTGCCTCAGTCTCCCAAGTAGCTGGGACTACAGGTGCACACCACCACACCTGGCTAATTTTTGTGATATGAACTTTTCAATGGTAAATACCATAAAGAAAAAGAAATAAAGCTAGAGGTTACCCAGATCAAAACCAGATAATAACCTCCTTGACCATAATCTCAGACTCTATTGGTTATGAAGCTAAATTTATTGTCCCTACTCCAAAAACAACAACAACAACGACAAAACATCTTAAATTATAGTTTTTAAGTCTGGTTATTACAAAACACTCTTAAGTTCTTCTGCCCATCTTCCCAAATCCATAGCTTGCACTTCACATTCAACTTATATGGAAGGATAGAATGACACTAAGTATTATTAGCTAACACTCAGGGAGTTTATTAGATAGTCTCACCTTGAAAGTCTTGCCATATCAGGCCAACTCAGAGGCAGTAACTCATACTTCTTTACATGACCAAGGTGAAGAATCACATGATGACTTTAAGTAAATTGTCATGAGGACTATTTATTTTAAAATGCCATATCTTCTTTACTAAACCTCTGAGAATAAAATTTTAAGCAGACTTGTTTTGATGATTTAGATAATTGCAATTCTATTTCCTTAATACTTTAACAGCTAATGAGATACTTTTGATGGGTTTTAATAGCTCCAAGTCCTAGATACATATTAATCTTGCCAACTAAGTACTAGATGATATTGTTACCATCAATAAAACACCATCATACATTTTATTTTGTTTTCCAGCAGTATTGCTTCATGCAGTTCTATGAGAATTTGTTATTTTTTCCATGAATTATTTTCCAAAACAATTTGAGAACATTTTCACAATACTTTATAGTAATAAAAGAATAAGCCCCATTAGCATAATATGTTTGTATAACTAAAAGATGCTCTACTTCTAGACACTGGTTCATTTGCTTTAAGTAAGTAGATTTTTGACGTTGCCAAGGAAAATGTTTGGGTTTACTATGGTTTGGACATGATTTGTTTTCCTCCACTAAAACCCATATTGAAATGTGATCCCCATGCAGTGGTATTGAGAGGTGAGACCTATTAGGAGGTAACTGGTTAGGGGTACAGATCCCTATGAATGACTTGGTGCTGATATAGCAGTAATGAGTCAGTTCTCACTTTTGTGAAGGGGGATTATTCTTGGGGAAATGGATTAGTTTCCACCAGAATGAGTCTTTCATAAAGCCAAGACACTACTCATGTTTTCTCATGTTCACATGAGTCCACTTCCTTTTTGTCTTTCTCCACCATTCTCCACTTGTTGTAATACAGCAAGAAAGCCCTTGCTGGAAGCCAGGGCTATGTCTTTGAACTTCTCAGCCTAAAGAACCATGAGCTACATGAAGCTCTTTTTTGTTTGTTTAAATTACCCAGTCTCAGGTATTTTTATAAGCAACACAAAGTGGACTAAGACAGTGTTTTACAAAAATACCCCAGTTCACATATACTACTCTTATTATATTCTTTTCCACCTTGAAATTATGTAGAAATTAATTAAAAATTAGTGAACACTTTCATTTCCTTATATAATAAACAGATAAATAAAGCCACCCATAAGTTTATTAATATAAATTCTACCAGGATAAAGCTGTAATTTTTTAACAATTGTAATTTTCTTTAGCATAGTGGTGCCTCATAAAGCCAATGTAAGAATGGAATGAAATAGTGCATTTAAATTGCTTAAAACTGGTGCATATTAAGTGCTAAATAAAGTTAGCAATTGCTATTATGATTGATATCAATTCATTAATTCAAAAATATTTGTTGAATGTTTGCAATATGCAAACACTGTGACTGAAGCTAAAAACATGGTAGCCAATAAGCCAAGCAAGATACTTTATCTGTAGAGTTTCAGTTATCTTAAGAATAATATTAATAAATTAATAAGCACTAATAAATAATATAATGACAAATGTAATACATAAATAAAAGGTGATATGTTAGGGGAAGATGGACAAGGTGGTGACTTATATTGAATTGTTAAGAAAAAGCTTGGCTAAAAGGTAATATTTGGGTACATGTGGGAATATTCAGAGTCCCTCCTGGAGAAGACCTGGAGGCAGATCATTCCAGAAAAAGAATACAGCAAGAAAAAATTTCCGAGATAAGAATTCACTTTTATTTTTCCAGAATTAATAGGAATGTCATTGTGCTTTGAAGAATAAACAAGGAAAAGAATGATAAAAGAGTTGGAAAAATGAGCAGGGGTCATGCCAAGTAAGAATGTGTACGATATGGTAGGTGTCATTGGTATGTTATAAAATGTATTATGAAAATATTTTGATGATATTTCAAAAGGGAAATAATGCTACCTAATGATAATATGAAAAAACGACTCTGGCTGCTGTAGGGAGAAAATATAGGCTTGGAGTTGGGAGAAGAGTGAAAAGAAGGCCAGTTGGAGACAATTATACTACATTTAGCTTTAGGAAGGTGCTGAAGGAGTCATGGATTGAGATTGTTTTCCAAGTTTTCAGTTGAACAATTTCAATATGGTGGCATTACTTAATGACATAGGGAGGCCAGAGAACAAACAGATTTGGAAGGATGTGGTAGAGAATAAAAGGTTTGCTTTTGGCTCTGTCAATGCTCAGGTGGGATTATATGAAATCTAAGTAGAGATTTCAAGCAGGAATTTGAATTAATATATCTGGAGATTAGCCAAGATGTTGCAGATGGAGATGTAAATGTTGAGACATCATCATTGAGCTGGAAGGCAAGGGGCTGACAGAGCTCAGATATTAATGACAATGAATTTGATCCATTGTGATAATTTAAAAAAATCATGGCTATCTTGAAGGCCAACATTTATATCGTCTCTTGCAGTCCCTGTGCACAAAACAGTTTTGTTTGGTAGATCCCAGGTTATTACTAGATGGGTTTCACTAGCCGGTGATTCATTCCTGGCCACCATCTAACCAGATATTTTAACCAAATTCCCATTTATCCAAAGGCTTCCAAATGATTTTGGATAACTGAGGTTGCTTATGGATACTTGAAATGGCTAAATATCTTACATTCTAATGAATTTACTGCTCTTTCAAAAATTTTTCGACACTCATTCAAAGTCTATTTTAACAAAATAACCTAAATCCTCAAAATATTGTTTTTATTAAAATAGGCCTTCATATACCATTTGCACTTAAATTGCTACCTGTGTCACATTATCAACATGAATACTTACCATTCATTCAACACACATACACACACCTGCCTCCCTTCCCCCAACCAAACACACATACCAGTAAAGATGGCTTTGCCTTAAGTCCAGGAAAATCCTCCCTCTTACACGGCAGTCTTTTCCACAGACTCTAGAAGTTCTGATTCACTTGGTTTTAGGGGGGTATTAATTAATATAATGACCTTGAACCAATCGCCAGAGATTGTTATTCAGTATTCAACATATTCCTAGTAGTAGTGGTGTTCCAGAATCACACTTTGAGAAATACTATATTATTCTCACAGGAAGACCATCACACTGAATTTTTTCTTATGATATATTTCCAAAAATTAGATTATTAAGACATATTTACCTATTGGAAGGTTCTTGGAACTTACCAAATATAGGAGCCTATGAAACACTGTCCAGATCTCACTTTAAGACAGAAGAGGACTTATTCCTCAGCTGCTGGGAATGCTGCCAACAGACAGCCCTCAGTTGTCAAGCATCTTGGAGAATTGCCTCAGATAAAGACAGTTGTCTTGCCAAGATCACATCCTCTCCCGTGGAGGCAGCCTACCTCAAATAACTTTTTCATGGAAAGGCATAAAAAGCACCTCATCCCAACTTAGGACAATCTTGAAGACAGCACTCACCAGGAAAAAAAAAAAAGTCTTGCCCAAAATTCTCCATCTCAGTATTTATTTCTGGGAACCTAAATTAAGCAGAAACTATCTGAAAAACAGCCATTATTCATATTTGTTGAAAACAGTTCATTGACTCAAATATCTAAAGAACAGAAAGAGTGTGAGCTCCAACTATGTCCTACAAAAAGTAGCATGTTTAAGATGCAGGAATTAAATTCTACATGCCACAACAAGATGAGTCCTAGAAGTGAGAGAGAACTCTCAGAGCTCAAGAATTTGTTATGCCGCAGAACTGAATGAGAGCATAACCTATTCAGGAGATATTGAGGGGGTCTGGAACTTCCTGATGTAATGCTGGAGATGTAAGTTTAGTTTGTACTGGTTTTCTTCCTCCCACTTCATACATAGGTGGACTGGACAGATTTAAGCGTATAGGATCAGGCAGACAAAGGTGGCAGCTATAAAATTTACCAGGGTTCATAATCTACAACAATGTTAGAATAGAGGTAGGTAGTGCTTACTTAAATCAGTATCAAGGACATAACTGCAATACTTGTACATCTCTACCCCTCTATTCTGATGCTTGACATTCCATTATTTGAAATTTACTTTAAGACACAAAGAAGATATATAAGTTTGAAGTCATTAGAAATCAATTGTAAGACAAAGTGAACACATCACATTTTTAGGCACAGTAGGGGATACTGCAATATAAATGATTTCCTGGTCATGGTGAAGATTGTTCCAAATCTTAGAGTGTATCCAAATGTTTATGCTTCAAAAAGCTTCCATCCACATGTGGCTTCCCTCCTCCACACCTTCTTCAGCCATCATGGAGAATGGATGCAATTTCCTTCATTCAACTTCATGGTTTGCTGATTAATAAAAAAATGTAACAAAGAGAGCTAAATAACTGTAATAGATGGCAGGAAGGAACAGACATTGCAAAGGAGCAGCAGAGAACTCAGTGAGGACTGATTCTTTTACCTGGGGTAAATCAATGCAAACATTATGAAGTAGCTTTTGACCCAGTCTTTGATGGATATACAATAATTGTACATGCAAAACTATACTAAGATTTTTATCTGCTTTCTAAGGAATATGCAATAAGCTATAATTTTAAGCTTTATTGGTATGCCCAATATTTCAGGTATATTATTTGATGCTATGAATGCTTCTAAGAACCAATTTCGTAACATTTCTGTCCCCATGATGCTTATATCATGGTGCAATGTAATACCAAACAAATTTAGTAAGGAATAATCAATAATTTAAAAACAATATGGATATAAATTATGTCCTCTATTTCCACAGATTGATGTCATTAAAATGGATTATTTTAGTGTTATTCATCATTCCAATGTTTGGCATATATATAATTAGATTTCTTGGGAATAATAAAACAGATTTGTGTTCAGTGCTCTCTGTTCCACTCTGTGGAAGAGAAGGTGGAAAGCAGAATTGGGCAGAGGTAGAAGATGGGCTGAAATGCAGTCTCAATGAAGGATTTAGCCATCAACACAAGAAGGTCTGGACTTTGGATGCCACTTCTGAGTTGTCACATCCATGCAGAAGCTTAGGGGCTAGGCTTTGGAAGCCTATATTGGTGCATCTTTGGATTTGTACTGCTACCTAGCATTGGACAAAGAAACTGATTTTGGCTTTGGGAAATTCTGGAAAGCAACCTAGCCTTGAGCTTTCTCAGCAGGCAACACTTCCAGCAGCTAGAGGAATGAATGCCCTAGTTTTAAAGGGGACAATAGGGTAACACACCACAGCCTCCACTACAGTTTCCAATGCTATTGCTTTTCCTGTTGCCAAAAGTCTAGTTTCTGATTGTGTTCAAGATGTTTCCTTAAAGTATAACTCTAGAAGAAGAGTTCTCTTCTTCATCACTTCCTGATCAGGGAAATTTATAACAGTTATGGAATGAATTGTGTTGCCCCAAAATTCACATGTCAAAACTCTAATTCCCAATGTGACTGTATATTTGGAGGTTGAGGTCAGAGGACAGATTAGTTAAGGCCCTAATCTAATATGTCTGGTATCCTTATAGGAAGAGGAAAAGGTATCAGGGAAGCACAAAGAAAAGGCTGTGTGGGGAAACTGCAAGAAGGTGGCCATCTGCAAGCCAAGGGAGTGAGGCCTCAGGAAAAACCAAACCTGCCAACACTTTGATCTTGGACTTCCAGCCTCCAGAAATGTGAGATAATAAATTTCTGTTGTTTAAGCCATTCAGTGTGTGGCATTTGCTTATGGCAGCCCTAGCAAACTAAGGTAGTAAGATGTTGAAGTAAATGTTTTGATGTATCAGAAAGGTGAGAATTCAATCATCAATACAAGGTTTGTAGTTCCATGTTTGGATTTCTGACATCATATCTGAAAAAACTAGGGATACAAAACCTTCTTCAGGTACTTTCTGATCCATCTAATAATATATATATATATATTTAATATATATTTATATACTTAATATATGTAATAAATATATATATTTGATTTATTATATCAATAATACAGGTACATTCTGGTTCATTTAATATAATAATTCACTTAATATAGGTACATTCTGGTTCATTTAATATCAATAATACAGGTACTTTCTGGTTCATTATATACATAAATTTGAGGTAGGGTCTTGCTATGCTGCTCAGGCTGGAGTTCAGTGGCTGTTCACAGGCATGATCATAGCACACTGCAGCTTCAAACTCCTGGGTTCAAGCCTCTTCCCAAATAGCTGGAACCATAAATGCACACCATGGTGCCTGACTGAAAGTCTTTATGTAATGAAGATTTAAAAGGTTTGATTCTAAAATAAAACATGATGTGGTTTATATAGTTATTATATCTGAATTAATGTTTCTACTTCTACACAACCAAAATACATGCTTTTTCATTAACATGTATTATCAAAGTATATGAGTGTTTGTAATTTATAGACATATATACATATATAAATATGTATATTTAACACATTTATACATGAACACATAGATATGGCAATGTAATTTAACTCAGAGTAAAATTAATGCTAATTTTTATTCAATATGCATTTTTCAAAACCTATTATGTCTACTGATAATACAAATTTGAATGAAGTATAAAGCACAAGGCCCAGATATCTATGATCTAGGTGAAGAAAGAGAAGCCTTACATTTCCAACAGTGAAAATGCTGGAGTCCTCCTATGTGATCTCTCTGCAACTAGTCTTGGTTGCTCTGACACCACCTTCTGCCTAGAAGCCAGACAGTTCTTCCAAAATGCTAATCAGTGTACCTTAGTTTCTTGCTTAAACCTAGTCCTATTGCCTTCAGCAGAAGGGCCAACAGCAGTGTACAAAGACTGTTCTGAGCTATCTCATGCTTATGTCTCAAGCTCCATCTTGTACATCTTGATAGCTCACCTCTCTATCCCTGCTGAAATACTTGTGATTCTTTTTTGTTTTTGTTATTGTTGTTGCTGTTGTTGTTGAGACGGAGTCTTGCTCTGTCTCCCAGGCTGGAGTGCAATGGCACGATCTCGGCTCACTGCAACCTCCACCTCCCTGGTTCAAGCCATTCTCCTGCCTCAGCCTCCCAGGTAGCTGGAACTACAGGCACCTGCCACCACACCTGGCTAATTTTTGTATTTTTAGTAGAGACAGGGTTTCACCACGTTGGCCAGGCTGGTCTCAAACTCCTGACCTCAAGTGATCCGCCTGCCTCGGCCTCCTAAAGTGCTGGAATTACAGGTGTGAGCCACGGCGCCCAGCCTACTCGTGATTCTTACACAAAAATATGTTGTTTCATTTATTTGTGCCTAGGTAGAGCCACCCCCTGTTACTTTCCATTGGGTAAATTCTTACTCTAATCTGTCCTCTATAGGAATGACCATGTAACCGTTATACAAATGATTCTGTTCTTAGGGCCCCTGTTATTACACTCTGTTGTCTCACTTATCCCTTCGCCCCTCACTGTCCTGCAAGACTCCTGTTTGCTTATCTCTTTCCTCCTGAGTCTGCAGGCACCGGAGAAACCATGAGGAGACCTTAATCTTCCCATCCTCAAAAGTTTCCGGGCACTTTGCACGCAGTAGGTTCACAATGCAGGCTCTTTGATGTAAACCAAAGAAGGAATAGTAAAGCACATACGTATTTTACTGGAGAAAAAAACCCAAAAAAACAATGGTTTGAGGGATAGTCCATTCCTACTATTTTCAAAACATAACTACTAAATTCAAAATGAATAAGTTTTTTGTGCTTTAAAAAAGATATTCTCTTTCTTCAGATGTTCACATTGAACACTATACTGAGATTCAGGAAAGATTTAAGCAGTTTCATAGTCACTAGGGGTCACTCTTATAATTTTGAATCTTGCAAACCTGTGTAGGTTATTTTCCTTAGAAAGATTTAATTTCAACTCTCCCCTGGCCCTGACTCATACATAGAAAGATTCCAGTAATGATACCTGATGGGCATGTCTGCCACATAAATTACCTAAAAGCTATGTTTACTTTTTTGGTTATTAACTATCATCAGAATGGTGTTGCTGCATGTGTTTAAGAGAAGCAGCAAGATAACGTGAAAACCTGATAGTCAAAGGATTTATTAATGAAAATCTTAATAGTATTTCATCAATTACGTTCTCACTAGAAAATTTCACCTTAGTGTTTTTATGTCAATTGTTACAGACTTTTTAAAAGGTTATGGAGAGCTTTGCTCTTGTAATGTGTGGATGGGCTTCCCATGGATGCATCGCTAAATTACCTGCGGAAATGCAGAAACACTTGGCTTTTCAAATCACCAAGTGTCATCTCAGCAGGATTCTTAATCACAAATATGCTGAAAGAAAACCAACAGACATTTGCAAATGACAGGGGAGCAGCAAAAAGAGAAACAAATCTCTTTTTAACTGTTCTGTGATCATCTTTATTCTCGTACCCACTCCCAATCCTTCCAAGTAATTAGTACATGGTAATCAATCATGGCTCTTCAGGCAGGCACCAGTTCAGGTGTATGGTGTTTGATTCACACCTCCCAGGAGCAAGAATTAAGGAGTTAGGACAAGACAAGACAGACAGGAAGCTGGATAGAATAGATAGAAGGCTCAGGACAGGGCAACTTACCCCTTTACCTGGCATCTGTAGCCAGATGACCAGGAGCCTGGGGTATGTTCTCAAGAGAAATAGGTTTGGATGAAGATGGAAGAATTTACCTTTAAAAAATAAGTTTGAGGACATAGGAAGATTAAGAAAAATGACCACAGGCTTTAAAGACAGACTATCAGGTTGGAACTCTATCACAGCTATTTAAAAGCAGTATAGCCAAGAGAAATTTGTAGGCTTCAATTTTTCCACTGTTGTAATGGGAGCATGATAAGGACAAAACACACACACACACACACGTATCCACATATGTATACATATGTACACAAGTACATACTTATGTGTATATGTGTGTGTGTGTGTGTGTGTGTGTGTCCCCAAGTCTAATTCCTGGCCAAAAGTGTTGATGATCAAAAGGCTTCCTTTCCTTTTCTGCTCTCTGAGGAAAGCATATCTCTCTAATAAAAAGTCAGCAAATATTGACTTAATATACAAATGGGGGACAAGATAGGATATTTGAAATTGGATCTATTCCAGAGTGTTTAGTTGCCACAATACGATGGAAAAACCTGATTTCCACTCATTCAATCTCTTTTAAAGGCATCATAAAGCATTTATTGATTTTTAAAAAGAGAAATAAGAAGAAAAATATTCCAATTGAATATGAAGTAAGGCCATCCAATTTCAGTTACAGACTTGAGCAATGGGTCTGCCAGACCCTCTAGGTGGGCTCAGCTTTACTGAACAAAAAAAAACAAAAAGAGAATTTCACAAGTTCGAAATTCCTCAATTCAAGGATGGGGAAAACCTAAAGATCTTAAGCAAGCCTGCAGAAGAGATGACTATTGCATGCCCTAATACTGGTCTCTGCTGACTCTGAGTGCCTCATGCTAGGGTTAACTTTATATCCAGCCACATGTTTCCCATAGCCTCTGACTACAGACGCTAGGAGGAACATTGTAATGAAAGCCACAAAGCACAGATAGGGCTATTTAAAGATTTTAGTGGCCAATATAGAGAGTGAAACTCCATGAGCAGCTTCAGAGGGACATTCAAGGAATTGTGCTTATTGTACCTCCAAGGCACTTGCTTAAGAAGATTTTAAAAACACTATTGCTGTTAATCTTTATGATCCAAAAAGATAAACATTCTATCTGGAAAGTCCATCTCTTGTGTACCTTTCTATAATCTTAAAGATTTTGAACAAGCGATGGTGCCGTTTTTGAAATGGAAATTACAATGCTTCTGTGGGTACCGAGGCATAGAGCTCTGTGGTGGAAAACATGACTTTGCATGTACAGAGATCTGATATTGTCTACATTATTTAACCTCTAAGAAGACTTTCCTATTGTCTAAAATTGGATAATAGCACTTCATTCTCAGATGTTTCATAGAGATTAAAAAACAAACCAAAGGCTGGGCGCAGTGGTTCACGCCTGGAATTCAAGCACTTTGGAAGGCCTAGGCGGGCAGATCATGAGGTCAGGAGATCGAGACCATCCTGGCCAACACGGTGAAACCCCATCTCTACTAAAATACAAAAAAATTAGCCGGGCATGGTGATGTGCACCTGTAGTCTCAGCTACTTGGGAGGCTGAGGCAGGGGAATTGCTTGAACCTGGGAGGCAGAGATTGCAGTGTGCCGGGATCACGCCACTGCACTCCAGCCTGGTGACAGAGTGAGATTCCATCTTAAAAAAAAAAAAAAGATAATGCATTTAGATGTTAGTACAATGTCTAACATATTGCAAGCACTAAATAAATAGCAGCTACTATTATTAATAGTATAACAATTATCAATATTATAAAATAAACAATAATTTTTTCCACTCTTGTTAGTTTGTTTCAAGGGGAATTACAGAGATTTTTCTATTTACTCTACTTGCAATTCTAGTAGCTGCCATTGTCAGCAGGGCAAGGGTCGTACCATGCCTGGCCTCTCTTTCCTTTGTACTATTTGAAAGTATTTGAAAAAAAAAAAGAGTTGTAAACAAATTATTTTAGTCCACAAAGATGATATAAACATGAGGCTGCCCTGCATTTCAACACAGCTCTTGTCTCTAGAAACAGAAGAATGGAGAAGATGATCTGTAAGATTCTTTAGAATCTAGAGGTCTTGACTTCCCAGCCATTTGAATTTCCTCAAATGATGCATACTCTGCATGATGCTCTTGGCTGAGTGGATGGAATGTCTCTTGTTGGTGTCAAAAAAGGAAGTGCCTCTCCATAAAGGGAGAGCAAAAGCACAAACAGAGCAATTTCCTTATTCCTAATTTTTACTCTTGAAATGATGGAAAACTGACCTCATGAACAGAGTTGCATACTTATCATTTGAAAAGAATTTGAAATGGCCTATAATTCCCTTCAAATATCCATATCATATCTCAGCTTCTAGTTGTTTTTACATAATAATATATCTTCACATATCTACATATCTCCTAATAACCCTGGTTAAAATACAATTTCCTCAAAGAGAAGACAAGTATTATATTTTTTGTTACAAACATCTTAATGGAAGCTATCATCACAGTATCTTGGGGCAAAACCCCATCCCAATGAGGCAGAAAATGTCATGACAGGGCAGGAAGTTTTTGAAAGGAAAATGTGAGCACCAACAACTGACTTTTCCCATGTCATTAATCCATTAAGCTATTCATCTATGTTTTTTGCTCATCCATTATAGTAGAGGACCCATTATTGACCAAACTACATGTTAGATATAAATGTAGGGACATTATGTGTATAAGACTTAGTCCATAAATGTAATGCATTCCCAGTTCAGAGGAGGAGATGTACTTGCTCTCAGGCAGTTGTTTGCATAGTTCTATGAGGAATGCTGTAATATATGCCTGCAGCAGGTACAACAGAGGGGCCAAAAAGCTGAGTGATAATCCCCTGGTTATTATCAGGAAGGTATAAAATAGAAAAATAGGTGATATTTTAGTTGAACCTTCAAATAGGTATAGTTACTCTTCAGAAAAAATAATTTTGCACTGGGCTGATGTTGGCTATAGTTTTATTAAACATATGATCAGAATGACGAAATTCACTTTAATTAATTTTCATGGGTAGCTTTTGTCTTCTTATTATTCTGACACATTTGGAAGTAAATCAGAATAATATAATCATAGAAATGAAAGGCACTATGTTGTTAAACCTAAAATATAATCACTAACATTATTGAGGAGCTTAGTATGTGCTGAGCATGACATCAAATGTTCTACACACAAACATCTTCTCATTAATCTGGTCCAAGACAATATGAAAGAGGCAATAGCAATTCCTATTTTATAGATGAGGAAATTAAATTTCAGAAAGGTAAGCACCTTTCCCAAAGTTACATCTGATTAAAACTCAAATCAGGGCTTTCTGATTTTGAAATTTATGTTCCTAACAATTATGACATGCTACGACATTTCCCTGTTATCCAGCGCATCATTACTCAGAGTATGAACCACTGAGCAGCAGTATCAGCTTTACCTAGGAATATGTTAGAACTGAAGAATCACAGGTTCCACCCCAGATCTTCTGAAAAAGAATCTGCATTTAACCCAAATTCTCAGTTGTTCATATATATAATAATGTTTGTGAAACATTGGTTTAGTCTACTCCCTACTACTATAAATGCAATACAAATGATTGTTCACCTCCTGCTTAGAGGGCAAGAAAACTCACCATTTTATGTGGCAGTTTCACTTGCTAACTTGCTAAGGAAGCCTGTCTCCCTGTAACACAGAAACAAGATGCCTTCCTTGTAGAGTGTCCTTTCCTTTTGGCACAATGGGACATGCATTCCACTGTCTTTTCACGTGTCAACTCTTCACGTATGTGGCCCAAATGTGAATACATGGAAGCTCTTTCATTCTTCACGTTTATCTAATTATCTCAATTTCTTTTACTTTAATGATGTCATGTCTACCCCTCATCTTTTTGGTTCCTCATTATGGGCCAACTGTAAATCAACATTGTCCCTCTCAAAAAATATCCTATGCAATGAACCAACTAATGCAGATGTATTCTCCCTGAGGGCGACCACAGTTAAAGATTTGCTTTCTGTGATCTGAATATAACACCAAACATCTACAGCATCTCATTAAGCCAGTGATCAGCTCAAATGCCAGATGCTATTCCCAGACACCAAAACAAATCATCTCCATGTTCTCTCTATTTATGGCCAGATTTGGGGAAGTAGACCCTATGTATACCCCTTCACATTTTGCCAGGGTGTACGGAATCATATATCTGAAACTCATTCTCTCTTGAAAACTCTTCGGTAATTTTCTTCTCTAAGAGCTTCAGACATTTGGACATTCACTGAGTAATTGTGAATTTTCATTGTGAGTCATTTAGGCAGTGCCAGCAGGATTCATTTATCCTTTATTTTTCATTTATCCTTTAAAAAATGTTCGCTGAGCAACTATGCCCTAGGGAAGCAAACATGAGTAAGTAAGAGTCCTTGCTTTACAAGAGGTCACAAACTGAAGAAAGAGAAACAGATAAGTAAAACGATTATCACCATAAAAAGATTGTGCACAGTTCTAAGGGGAATAAATGATGAATTGCCTTGGGGAAGAGCAAAGGATTTCATAGAGAGATGGCATTTGAGCTGTCCTATAAGGATGATTTTACTACTCAAAGAAGACAGAAGTCATTCTAGGTAGAGGACCAGGTTGTGCATAGGCAGAGAGAAAATAACATTATGATAGAATATTTAGAGAATGGTGAAGAGTTTAGTAAGTTGGATTCAGAAGAAGGGAGAGTAAAAGCTACAGACAGTTTGTTGTTAAGTACTATTTTAAGAAGTTCTTGTACACTAGACCATGTATTGAGAATTTTAGCCTTTACACACAGGGGAGTCATGCAAGATTCTTTTAAAATAAGGGATATTACAATCCCATTTGTGATTAGAAGTAAAACTCTGCTGGTAAGTTGGACAACAGATTTGAAAGGGAGAGAAACTGAAGGTTGAAAAGACCTCACTGGAGGTTGGTCCATAAAACAGTTGTTGAAAGTACTGTCTGATCAATGCTTGTAAAATGTATCATCCAGATATAAATGGCCAAAGCACATTAACAATAAGAAAAGCTTTGCCAGCACAGCTGTTTTACTCCTAAACAAAACAAATGCTTAAAGCTCCTGGAAATTACAATAGAATTAATTTCACCTCCCCAATGGTGGGGGAAAATCCTCAAGCACATTTTCTGCTGAGTATTTCACTGGATGAATGAACCAGAAAGCCTGAGTAAATATTGTTAATGAAATGTATGAATATTCTACCCATTCAGAAGAAATCTGTACTGTAAATCCAAGGATGGAAGAAAACAGCTTTCAGAATAAACAATAAATAGGAAAGTCAGATCATATTCAGAAAGAAATATAAACACATAAACCCCTGTGTATTCTAACCAAGCAATCACTTAACCAGCAGGGAGTGAAAGTTTATAAACCCAACAATCTCACTGGGGTTTTTGAGGATTCTAAATGCAATTCAAATTACTTCACAATTTTCAATATGTTTTCCCACCCAGTGTCTCATTTAATCCACACACCTCTAAAAGATTGCTGCTATTGTCCACATTTAACAGGATGAGAAAAATTTAGGTTCTAAAAAGTTGAATAAATTATTTAATTTTCAAGTCTCTGTGGTACAACAAAGACTGAAACAAAGGCTTCCCTTAGGGTAAACCATAGAAATTGCCAATTCTTAGGTTAAAATGTTTAAATATCAGTAACTTTGTATGGTTCAACCTCATAGATTCCAGGCACAGTTCTCTAAGATTATCAATCAACAACAAGTAATTTTATTCTGGTTCCATGGCTGCAAAGGCAAATTAATTCAAAATGTCAAATGAAATGTCAAGTAAAAGGTTCTAGATCTCAGTTCAGCTGGACCAGAAAACTGGTTCATATTTGTCACTGAAATGCATGTTAAACTGAAAGAACAGATATTTACAAACCTTCCTTTCTCTTATTTTTCTAAGAGTCCCCATAAATATTTTCATTACTCATAGACTATCATCTCTACAGTATTATAGTGTGAAGGATAATATGTTAAAGTCATATTCTATGTGACAACATATTATACACATAAGTATTTGTATAAATGAAGCACACATAACTATTCTATGTTTTGTTCCAGTTCAAAATATCCTTTTTATTAACATGTAGCATTTTATGAGCTATATTTTACCTCCAGGTTTCTGGAAACTAAAAAAAAAAAAGAAGATGTTCAGTAATATAATTGTAAAGATGAGCCTGTGCCCTATAAATCATGATAGCTTATGCAAAAAAAAAGTGATATAAGATCCCTTGCAGGGAGGATCCAATGAACTCTTTTGAATCATATCGTTTTGCTTATAAGGTGAAGGCCACAGATTTTTAAGGACCTTAACTTTGTTATTTGCTTCTAATTGAAAGAATGTGTCTACAACGAGTACAAAGAGTTCTCATTATCTGAACTTCCATTTCAGCCCTTGAGGAAGCTTGCTCCACTAGTGACCTTTAACTGGTTTGTTTCGTCAGCACACTTTCTAGTGGCTGCATATGGTGACCAAAGCTATCCACGTGGGTATACAGTCTTTGCAAAGAACTTAAATAGACCCAACCCAGTATCCACTGGATATGTGCACTTACGACATCAACCAGAGATCAATCAGATGCAAAAGGCAAAACATCCCATCTTGAAACAACTCTGAACACCCAGAGGCAATATAGTTATGTTGAACTGAAATACAGCACCAATAATTAATAGGTCTTTCGGTTTCCAAAAATTTCGAATAAAAATGTTTCTTCCTCTTTCACGTGGCATCAGGTATTCTACGTTGGTCTTATCCCCCCAGATTAAAATCTGCACCAGTTCTATAATCTGTTCCTTATATAATATAACGTGAATTCCTTCAATAACCTGACATTTTCCTCTGACATCCCCATGTGATTCTAAATGTAGCAATCCGAAGTGCCTTCCTTCCCACCTAAAATAATAACCAAACTATGTTGCTCTCCTACTTAAAAGCCAAAATTATTTTCAAGTCACCTTCAGAATAAAGGATGAACGCTTGCCTCTCACATTTAATGCCCATGATGTTATATTCACCGATCTCTTCTCTGACTCACTCATAGCACCCCTTGACATTGCACCTCTGAAGAAAAGCCTTGTTTTCTTGCCTCTCCTGGCCTTTCCACAGGCTGTGTTTTTCCCTTTTCTCATAGAGAAGCCCTGCAAGACTCAACTCAGGCCACCTCTTTGAGTAAGTCTTTCTCTATTGACCTAGGATCAGGTAGGGGCTGTTGCAATGTGTTCCACCCGCTCCACTACTGGTACTTATCATACAGCAATGCATTTGGAAGTTTCTTACTTTGTCTTCCTCCCAAATATGCACAAATGGATTATGACCTCTTTGAGGGTAGGCACTGTTCTCTTCATCTCATGTTCCTTTGTTTTTATATCATTCCTGATAGAACAAAGGCCCGAGTTAAGTAAACAACTTAAAACTAACACAACTTAGCAGTTGGGGAGCGACAAAGACTACATACATAGAGCAGACTTTAATGGGCTATAGACTGTAAACACTTGGATCTTAAAATGGTTCTCCAATTGATTAACAATCCCAGTCTACTGGACAATTCACTCACCAGGTTGGACATGGGTAACTCTCTTGCAAAAAAAAAAAAAAAAAAAAAATGCTTAAATCACCCAAAAGGTGATTTTTGTTAGGAGTTACTGCTCAGAGAGAGGATATGTTATGGCTCAATGACTAGAGTTTTCATTCCCCATCTCTGAGCTCCCACACAGTCCTGGTCCTCACTACCACAAAAAGAAATTTAAAGTCATGCTTAAAACTGGAAGAAATAAAGCTACATTGAGGATAAGCAAATTACATTCTGGTGTCTTCTCCTTTTTATTTTTACCTGACAATATCAGGGTCATCTTAACTCGCAGGATTTTAAACAGTTTGAATGCACTTTTTGAACACCCAGCCAGCAAGATAAAAAGTGAGACTTCAGGTCAGGAGGAAAATGGTCTTTCTCTAAATAGGATTAGGATGGCTTCCAGTGAGATGACAATTTTATTATGGAACAACCAAGTCGGAGGGAGTGTGTTTAGATCAACTTTAAGAAATAGAGGAAACTAAGAGCTTCTTTATTCTGAACCAAAGGACGACAGCAAAACCATCCCTGAAAGGTGAAAAGATTTATAAATAAGTGTATAGTAGCCCTGTGCAGAATCTCTGACTAATATTTTCTAGCCTCACTCCCCTAACCAAATACTAATTCTTCCTGGAATTCAAAATCCTTCATAAACTGGCCCCTTCCTAACTCCAAATCAACTGGTGTGGGAGTGATTTAAAAATGTAAGGATATGCAGATTCCACACCCAGAGATTCTATTTTAATTGGTCTCAAATGGGACTTGGCATGGACATTTTTTAAAGCTCCTAGGTGATTCTATTGCCTTTCCAACATTGAGAGATTATGCCACAGCCTCAACTCAACTGTCTTTTGCTAGTACCATAAACAGCAGTGTTTTAAATGTAGCATTTAGTTGTGATATTTACCTTTATTAATCTGTTTGCTTGAATGTGAATGACACTTGTGTCTGTCAACTGATACTGGGTCCATACTAATTGCTGCTTTAAGTCACTAGGTAGCCTCAGGAAATAATAATAATAATTATAGCCAATGTTTATTTAAAGTTCTAAGCACTTTAAAAATAATAATCCATTGAGTCCTTAAAATAAAGCTATGACTTAACTACTGTTATCATCTCATTTACATTTTACAGATAAGGAAACAGAGGCTCAGAAAAGTTGTAATGATTGGCTTGAGACCACGGAGTTAATGTAAGAGGAGATTGTGTTCTGTGAAAACCAGCAATTTGCATTGACACTTGTTCAGAATGATTTTGATAAGCACTCAGTACAGTAGGAGATGTAAGGGCAGGTCCAAGAATGTGGGCGGTGGTGCTAACACATCTGGTTTAAACTTGACCCTGTGGCTTACTAGCTGTGTGATCTTCCACGAAATATCTCAACTCTTTGAACTTTGGTTTCCTTATTTGTTTAAATGGGGATTTCAATGGTTTCAGCTTCATGGTGAGTTTACTAAGACCTGGAATAGCTAAATATCAATAGGGACTCACAGGGTTTAATGGCAGAAGAAGAATTAAAACCCTGACATTTTGATTTACAGATTCATTTTCTTTTTAGCATAATATCTGTTATTTGAGAGCCTGGTTCGAAGTACCTTTAATACTCAGGTAAAAAAGGGATATTTTCTAACTGTGTGAGATATGACCCAGTACAGAGAACACAACAATTATCTGTAGGGGGTCAGCCTAGGTGCTTAAACTAGTTAATGAGTTAACTAAAAACTCAACGGGGATCCTCTTTTGTTAGTGCATTTTTTTTTTAAAAGCACATGGAGCCTGCCAGTGACCTATCAATCTTCAGAACCTGACATGAAAATCTACAGGTTATGAGGTCAAGAACCCCGCTAGGGTCAGACAGATGTTTCTTCCTGCTCTACACTGCACGCCACTACATAACGAGGTGAAGCATTACCTGGACCACGAGGAGACCCCATTCTTGCTTCTATGCTTTCTGATTGACTCGCTTTCTATACTATAAGCACTTGGTCTTCATTATGTTCTGGAAAGCAATGAACCACAGACAGTACAAGGAGACTTATAAAGGGGACATATGGTTTATGTGTAACCTCATCTATAGCTCCATTCACCTGCAGGGCATCTGCTCTGAAACTACAGTGTGTAGCCAAATAGTAATTTAATATAAAAGCCAAAACCAATTATCTTATTTTATTAAGCTTCGGACATTTCACTTTTGTCTGAATGAGATAATTTGGCATTCAATACTTCATTGTGCTAGTAGAACTTGGTCTTATTGAAAATAAATTGAAATTCTATTCTGCTGTATTATACAAAACATTTTGCTCTTCATTGAGGCAACCTGCCATTGATTTGCTAACTATGTTTTCAATAGATCCAATTCGTGATCTGAAAATTACAAATATTTACCTTATGAAGAATTTACATGTCTACAGGTAGCTAATATAATTATCTCTAATCGTAGTACAGATACTACTATGTATGTTCCTTCAATTGTCACAGAAAATCCATGAGATAGCATAATCATCCTCATTTTCAGAGAAGTAATCTAAGCAGGGGAGGGAACGAAAGTTGTCTAACTCATACAGTTAAAATTCTTTTAACCATTAGACTCCATTAGCTTTCACATAATGATCTTGCTATCAATATGAAACATAAACTATTTCTTTATCATTTGTATTTCAGATAGATAGAGTCAATATAATTGTTATGGATTCGTTAGGCTATCTGAGATGTTGAACAGTTTGGGGATGCTCATAAGTGACTTGTATGAGCATGCTAACTGGAAAGAACCAACTTCTTTAGAAATAATCATTGAGGAAATGATGAAGCCAGAATTCTAGTACCTCAGATCAGGACACTGCTATTTAGGCTTTGCTGAAAACATACTTCACCATGAGTGATTCGCTTAAACCCACAGAATTTTCTTCCTATATCAAGTAGAGAAAAAATCCCTGTCATTCATATCCTCAGAAGTGTGAAAGACCAGTTGAAATGTTTACCGTTTCTTCAAGATATGTTCTGTGGGGCTCTGGAATTGCAGAAGGGGTTTGAGGGCAGACAGTGCCTCGCCTGCAATCCTTCTGCTTCAACCAGTACAGTGATGTTTCTATTTCTTTAACATTTTGGTGAATGAAGATGTGAGTAAAAAAGCAGTTCTAAATACAATAAAAGCTTCACAACAATTGAGGTGGTGCATGTGAAAACATGCTTTATGGTATACAATAAGTAATGGATGTTTTTTTACTCCTTAGTATTAGCATAAAATGTGAGCCAGGTTTTCATTCGTAGAGGAGCATGAATGTCACAGAAAAAGCACTGATTTTGACATTAGAGAGGATGCTGCTTGGCTTCTGTATGAGGGTTCTTTAGTGAAACAGAAACAATATATATCCTATATATTGTATCATCATTATTATTATTATAAGAAATTGGCTTGTGTGATATGGAGGCTAAAAAGTCCCAAGATTTGTAAACTTGAGACTTTTAAAATATGGATGTTTCAGTTCAAGTTAGAAGACAGGAAATATCTGGTGTACTATGACAGGAGGGGCTCCATTTTTTTAGAGGTGGGGTCTTGCTGTGCTGCCTAGGCAGGACTTGAACCTCTAGGCTCAACAAGTAATCCTCCTGCCTCACCCTTCCTAGTAGCTTAAACTAAAACACACTGCACTCACAGGGGCCTTCTTACTTATGGGAGGGTGATATAGTTTGGATATTTGTCCTCTTCAAATCTCATGTTGAATTTTGATCCCCAGCACTGGAGGTGGGGCCTGGTGGAAACTGTTTGGATCACGGGTCAGATCCTTTATGCATGACTTTGTGCTGAGTCCTCACTCTATTAGTTCCCATGATAACTGATGGTTAAAAAGAGCCTGGCACCTTCTTCTTCTCTCCCTCTTTCTTCCTCTCTTGCCATGTGACATACCTTGCCCTTCTCCCTTTCCCCTGCTGCCATGATTGGAAGCCTCCTGACGTCCCTTTCCAGAAGCAGATGCTTGTGCCATGCCTCTTGCACAGCCTGCAGAACTGTGAGCCAAATAAACCACCTTTCCTTATAAATTACCCAGTCTCACATATCTCTCTACAGCAACATAGAACGGACTAAGAGAGAGAGTCAACATTTCAGACCTTTAACAAATAGGATGAGCCTATATACATTGGGGAGAGAAATCTGCTTTATTCAGTCTAACAATTCAAACGTTGATTTCATCCAGAAGGATCCTCACAGATACACACAGAATAATGTTTGACTAAATGTTGGGCACCCCATGGCTCAGTCAAGCTGACGCATAAAATTAACCATCATAGCTTTCTATTCTGCCACTTCCTAAGAGGAACTGGATAAATCACTTAAACTGTTTAATCAGCAACACAATGAAGATAAGAAATCATATAATGTAGGGCGGTTTGGAGAAATCATTGTGCCATTGTCTATGAAATGTCTTTTAGTATATGAATTATATCTGTTTTTATTCTGCATCCTTTCAAGTAAATGCTCCTTCATCTGTAAAGTGGGAATAATCTTTGCCATATGTACATATCATAAAAGATGATAAATGTGAAAGAATAAAGAATGACATAGGAAGACTCATATCCTGAGTTAGACCATCTATAAAGAGAGTCTTGATTCTCATGTTTCCCTAGTCTAGGGACAATAGGCATGTCAGAAACATTCTGTAACATACATGTACACTTATAAACACATACACAAAGATCCTCATGGCAATAGGCATCACAGTTCAGGCTCCCCAGAGAATAATGCTTTTCTATCCATCCACCATTTTGTCAGATGCACATTGTATTTTCAAACCAAAATGTATATACATATTAAATAATATATTCTAAACTATCTGCACTGCCAATTTGTTGCATCCATATGTTGAATCCATACCATTTTTTTTGTCCACACTTGCATTTAACTTAGAAAACTATATTAGTTATCAATTAACATATAATAAATTTGGCACACTTAGTAGCTTCAAAAAATACATATTGATTAGCTCACAGTGTGGAGCAGGAATTTTGGCATGGATTGGCTGTTTCCTCTGTGTGACTGCAGTCATGATGTTGGCAATAGTTGGGTTCTCTTCTGAAGGCTTAACTGGGGATGGATCCATTCCCAAGCTCCCTTAGGTTTTTGATAGAATTTATCATTTATGAAAATAGGACTGAGGAACCCAGGTCTTAGTTGTCTTATAGATTGCTCTCAGACTTTAGATGGCTTCCGCAGTTCCCTGCTAAACGTTCTCTTTAAAGGCAGCTCATAATATTGCAGCTTGCTTCTACAATGCCATCAAGAGAGCAAGAGAATCTAATGTAGATCTTCAAAGAAGATTATGTCTCATATGATATAATGTAATCATGAAGTGACATCCCATGACCCTTGCCATATAATGTAACATAATGGAAGGAGTGATATTCCGTCTCCTTTGCGATATTGCATGGCTTAGGAACAAGTCGTATCACCACTCCATGGGAGGAGACGACACAGTCCCTTCTGCTGGCGAATACCAGAAGGCAAGAATAACTGCCGATTCTTTCAGGGTCTGCCCTTAACAGTCATGAACCAGAAATATATGCAGCTATTACAAAAAAATGTGAGATGGACTTTATTTTTTTTAACCTATTATTTGTTAAGAGATATGATTTTCTGCAAGTAAGTTAACAACATGTTCAGAGTACCTATTTGCTAATGTAGACAGTTCAGAGGAGGCTCTATTTCCCATAGTGACACAAATATAATTTTAATTGCCACTTCAAATATGAATTTATATACATGCACATATATATTCAGTTCTGGCAAAAGTTAAAACATTCAGTAAATGATGTGGTGAATTCCTAAAGATACTCAGTTCTCTCAGTGCTGAGGTACACTTCGGCACAGATTCTCTGATTCAAGCATGCTTATGCACTACACAGAGTACAAGCACTGTGTATTTCTTTCACGGAAAGTTCAACTTCCCTATAGGAAAAGAAGGCATTCATTCTTTCTTTTAAAAAGTCTCAGCACTATTCTTTTTAAATCACTGTTTGTAGATGCAGTGGACATACAATTTTACCCTAAAATACTATTGCTTTTGAGGGGTGCTGTTCAGCTAATGAAAATAATGATAATTTGGCTTGGGTGGGAGGTATGATATTTATACATTTTTGCTTTCTTCTTTTATGTTTTTCTGGGTGGCTTTAATTTTTGGTAATGAGCTTTTTATTTAAAATCACAAGAAAGTAATTATCTTTAAGTCATTGTATTATGAGATACAAGGTAGTTAAAGGCAGGAAAAACAGGTCCACAACTCACACAGATGTAAAAAAAGAAATATTTGGTACTGCAGACCAGCTTGCATGCGGACTGTAAGGCAGGCAATGTTAATATGGACTCACAACCATGCCAACAGGCCTGTGTCCAGCACAGTTTTTGAGATTCCCTTGTTGCTAGGTCAGTAATGTTACGGATGACTGTGTCTGAGTCATAAACCACACAGTGACATATAATCCAAATTGAGACAGCAAAAAGGAATCCTCCAGTGCAAATCACAGTCTAAGATGGAAATAATGATACTTAATTTGAAAATACTGGACACTCAAAAGTGCATTTCTCAATCTCTTTCCCAGAAATACTGAATCCCCATTTCCAGTCAAACACATGGAAACCCTAAACCAGAATGTGACTGTGTAGTTACAATCTCTCAGCATTGACATTTCCTGGACACTATTTGCTTTCTCCTCCGTTATTACTTTAATTTGTTACTATTGCCTGAAATATAAGTGGGACACATTCAGAAACAAACAATAAACTTTGTACACTGAATAAACCATTAGTTACTAACTGGGAAAGATTGCTTAGGGGAAAGCTGAACTGGACAGAAAATCAAGAAATGTTATGAAGAACATTTACCAGGTGCTGGATGTTACTTGTATACAGGTGTAATAAAACCACACTTGGAGGAGTCATAGATCCTGTGTTGACATTGGATTTGAATTATGAGGGCATGAGAGATGAGTGTCTGATTCCCTAATAGGGTTCTTATGCACCTATCAAATTTGCAGATAACATATAATCGCACACATAAATGCACACACACATGATGACATGAACACGGAGTTTACAACGTCTTTATCAGAAACATATTCACGGTGTAAGACGGATATTTCTAATTGGTGTCTTTATATTAAACATAAGAAAATATTAAACAATGATACTTCTTTGAAATAAGTGGAAATTTATTATTTTATAAAATATATACTACAGATAGCTGATATATCCAACTTTGAAATCTAAATTCGTTTAAATCAATCATTTTGGCTTTAAATCATTTTGAAACATCTATGTACTTCCTGCATTACTAAATATAAATTGTAAATTTAAGTTAAAATCATTGATTATTGTGACCTTCTTTACAGATATCAATTGCTGAAGAGTGGCCAGTTACTTGCTCTGTAGAAAAATGACCCCTAATTATATTATTTATTTATACATTCTTTCATAGTTACATTCTTACTGTTATTTGTACAACTTTCATTTCTGTCTCATTAATGTTATAGTCTCTTGCTTCTAATTTAATGTTTCTAATATTCCTTTAGGAAGAGAACCAGTCAATCAAGTTAAGGTAAAGAATCAGAGAAAATAAAATGGCTAGAAAGTGTAATGTATAAGCTTAATAAAACTTAATCAATATATGCCTTTGCCTTAGTATTAAGTGCTCATGTTTTTTGATAAATATAATAGTCTCTGAAAAGTTGTTATACATATCTTTTAAAAACATAGTATCTTTAGGGCCAGGCGTGGTGGCTCATGCCTGTAATCCCAGGACTTTGGGAGGCCAAGGCGAGCAGATTACAAGGTCAGGAGATTGAGACAATCCTGGCTAATGCAGTGAAACCCCGTCTCTACTAAAAATTAAAAAAAATTAGCCGGGCATGGTGGCAAGCACCTGTAGTCCTAGCTACTTGGGAGGCTGAGGCAGGAGAATGGCGTGAACATGGGTGGTGCAGCTTGCAGTAAGCCGAGGTCATGCCACTGCACTCCAGCCTGGGTGACAGAGCGAGACTCTGTCTCAAAAAAAAAAAAAACCAAAAAAAAAAAAAAACCACAAAAACAAACAAAACAAAACACATGATATCTTTATGAGATGTAATTCATATAAAATTCACGCATTTACATCATACAATTCAGTTTTTTAGTATATTCACAGAATTGTACAAGTATCACCACAATCAGTTTTATGACATTTCATTACCCCCAAAAGAATCCATACCCATTATCAATCAGTGTCAATTTACCTTAGAAACTCTCAGCCCTAGGCAACCATTAGTCTACTTTTTGTTTCTATAGATTTGCCTAATCCAAACATTTTATATAAATTGAATCATAAAATATGTGGGGGGTGTGTGTGACCATCTTCTTTCACTTAACATAATATCTCCAAGATTTGTCTATGTTGTGGTATATATCATTAATTTATTCCTTTTAATTGTCAAATATCATTCTGTTGTATGGATATACCAAGTTTTGTTTATCCATCATTGATTAAAGGGCATTTGGGAAGTTTCTACTTTTTGACAATTATAAATAATGCTGCTGTAAGTATTTGAATTTTTTTTTGTGTGAACATATATTTTCACTTCTCTTGGATATATACATAGGAGTGGAACTGTTGGGTTACATGATAACTACGTGTATAAACTTTGGAGGAACTGCCAGATAGTTTTCCAAAGTAGGTGCACCGTTTTATATTTGCACAACCGTGTTTGAGAGTTTCAATTTCTCCACATTCTTCTCAATACTTACTAATACTTTTCTTTTTGGTTAAAGCAGTCCTAATGTATGTGAAGCAGTGTCTCATTGTGTGTGTGTGCTTGTTTTATTTTATTTTCCGGATGGCTAATGTTGTTGGTAAGAAACACACTCATCTGTCCAAACCCAAAGAATGGACTTAGAGACATGAAGAACAACAAAAGCGAGACTTTAATGACGGTCTCGCAAGATCGGGTGTCTGGCAAGCAGGCACACCTGGTGCAGTTTCAACAAGCAATTTATCCCCCAGTGTGTAAGTCCCTCCCCCAGTTCCTCATAGGCCGAGTACTGTGGGGTTACAATCTTCCCGGACGACACCTAAGTTTCATTATCCCCTTGTAAAGTTACATCTTGTCCCCTTCCCCACTTTAAGTTTCAATTTCCCAATGGCAAAACTTTCCTTCATTTTATGGATTAGGCCCCCGGCCTTTTTCTCCTTCCCCTCTGACTTCTATGAGTCTTATCACTCTTCCCAGATGTCTGTACCATGTCACTTGTCATGCCTGCAAGGGAGCTGTCCAGACTTGCCTGGGCCTGTTTTCTGAAAATAGACAGTTTAAAAAGTACTTCTTACAGTATGGACCATACTTTGTATGATCTGATTGGCCTTTTGTATTCTGTCTTTGAAGAAATATTTACTCAGATCCTTGGCCAATTTTTAAATTGAGTTGTCATTTTATTGTTCAGCTGTAAAAATAAATTTATATATTATAAATAAAAATTTCACACCAGACTTATCCGGTATATAATTTACAACGCACCTTTTTAATCCCATCCTGTGGGTTGCCTTTCATTTGTCTGAGGGTATCCCTTCAAACACAAACGTTTTGAAATGAAGCTCATCTCTTTTTTTCTTTTATTGGTTTTGCTTCTGCTGTCATGTGTAAGACAGCTTTGCCTAACCCAAAGTAAAAAAGATTTACTTCTATATTTTTTTCTAAGTGATTTAGTTATTGCTCTCACATTTAGGCCCATAGTCAATTTTGAGTTAATTTTGTGTATTGTGTAGAAAGGTCCCAACTAACATTTTGGATGTAAATATTCTTTCGCATGTGAATATTCAATTGTGCCAGCACTGTTTCTCCAAAGGGTCAGTCTTTCCTATTGTATGAATTTGAGAGTCTTTTAAAAAATACAGGCTGGGCGCGGTGGCTCATGCCTGTAATCCCAGCACTTTGGAAAGCTGAGGTGAATGGATCACCTGAGGTCAGGAGTCCGAGACCAGCCTGGCCAACATAGCGAAACCCCGAAACCCCGTCTCTACTAAAAATACAAAAATTAGCTGGGTGTGGTGGTGGGCGCCTGTAACACCAGCTACTCAGGAGGCTGAAGCAGGAGAATTGCTTGAACCCGGGAGACAGAGGTTGCAGTGAGCCGAGATTGGGCCACTGCACTCCAGCCTGGGTGACAGAGGGAGATTCCGTCTCAATTAAAAAAATAAAAAAATACACTAGATATGGATGTATTTACTTCTGGTCTCAATTTTGTTTCATGGAACTACATATCTTTCCTTATTTCAACAAAAGTACTAAGCTGTTTTGATTATTGTAGCTTTGTGGTAAGTTTAAAAATTGGAAAGTGTGAGTCTTCCAAATTTGTTTTTTAAAGATCATTTTTACTATTCTTGTTTCTTTAATTCATATGAATCTTAATAGCAGCTTGTCGATTTCTGAAAAAAATCCAGCTGGTATTATGATAGGGATTTTATTAAATATGTACAACAATTTAGAGAATATTTCTGTCTTAACAATATCTACCAATCAATGAAGTGTCATTTAAGTTTTAATTTATTTGAGAAAAGTTTTGTTGTTCCCAGAATATGTTTTTCACATCTTTTGTTAAACTTAATTCTAAGAATTTTACTAATTTTGGTGCTACTGAAAGTGCATTTTTTTCTTTAATTTCATTTTGGATTGCTTATTGATAATTTATTAAAATATAATTGATTTTTGAATATTTATTTTGTATTCTGCTACCTCATTGAATTCATTTATTACCTCTACCTCTAACTGTGTCCTTCCCCTATATCTGTCTGTGTGTGTGTGTGTGTGTGTGTGTGTGTGTGTGTGTGTGTGTGTCTGTGTGTGTGTGTAGATTCCTTAGGTGTTTCCATAGTTAAGACAATGTCATTTGAAAACAGAAATAATTTTACCTCTTTCTTTCCAATTTGAATGTCTTTTATTTCTTTTTATGCCTAATTATCCTGGCTAGAACCTTCAGTATAACATAGAATATAAATAAGAGTGGACATCTTTATCTTCTTTTTTCTTTTTGGTCTTGCTGATTCTTTCCTCTCACAATTCAAATCTACCCTTGAACTCCAAGATTAATTATTTTATTCAAGTTCAGCCCATTTCAGTTACTTTACTTTTCAATTCCAGAATTTCCATTTGGTGCTTTTGTGTAATCTCTAACTTTTAATTCATATTTCCTTTTTATTGGGATATTGTCATTATACCTTCCTTTACTTCTGTAAGCATGAGTTCATTTAGTTCTTTCAACATATTTATGTTGGCTTCTTTGAAATTTTTGTCTGTTAAGTCCAATATTTGGGCAGCTTATTTTCCAGTGTATGGAGCATGCTTTTCTGTTTATCTGCATGTCACATAGTTTTTTTCCCCTAATATTTAGATAATATAATGTAGCAACTCTGGACACTGAATCCCCTCCAACATGGATTATTATTGCAGTTGTTTACTTGTTTGTTTTTTTAGTGACTTAACTGTGCTATTGAATACCCTGGTCTATTTCTCCTAGAGTTTGCATCTAATGTCACTTTTTCTAGTATATATACTTGGGCATGTCCACAGTCAGCCTTGGATGCCAATAGTTTTGTCAGGTCTTTCTTTGTTTTTTGTTTTTTTTTTTCCCTGATTTAGCAGTTAAGCTGTCTGCCTCGGTTGGTATCATATCCAGTTGATCAGCTCCATAAATTACTAGCTGATTGTGTTATTGCTTTTGACAATTTCCAGGGATACAGATTGCAATAAAGTAGGTCTTCTTTGCAGGAGCTGACTTTGAAGCCATTCTTTGAGAACTGCTCTGACTTCAGGAGAGATTGTCTTACCTGCCCTGTTCTGTGACTCTCTGAAAAACCTCCAGCAAATGGCTTACCTTGTTTTTCTTATGGAACTACCAGTCTCCTCTGAATTTCTTACCACCAAAATATCCATTGTTTATGAGAATGCTCATTGGCTTGAACTTCTCCACATTCTGTTCCAACTAATTTCAATTCATTTGAGGAGAGTTTTAGAGCACTCCATCTTAAGGGCCTGCCTTTCTGCCGGGGCATAGTATCGAAGAAAATGCTCTTCAGTTGAAGTAGGGACAATGGCCCACAACTTTCCCAGTCATACAGCTCTCATCTTTCAGCTCTTTGAGCAGATCTCTGGGCAGGAGCCTCTAGTATTTTCAACATGCTTTTCCCACTGTGGAAACTTCACTCTATGTGATTGCTATGCTGAGAGCAATCAAGGGCCCTTGTACTTATTCTTGGACTGTTACATCTAGCATAGAGCTTCTGCCCTATAAGTGACAGCTGGGTGGAATACAGAAGCACCCAACCACTTGAATATACTCAGGGAATTTAGCCTCTGCAGCATGGAGCCGATAGAGATAAGAAAGCTGGTGTCCTGTTTCCCTCTGGAAAATATCACAGACCTGGTAGCCCGGGGGAAGAACGCAATCTACCTTCTTTTCCACACCTGCCAGTAGAGGCACTTCTGTCTCACTGAGCTGAGGGGTCAGAAAATGGGTCATGGCTTAAGTTCTGGAGACTTTTGCTGTTTATATGGGGATTCAGTATATTTTATAAAAAAATCTTTTTAAGTTACTTTATGTGCTATATATCCTTATGAATTTAAGTATTGTGTTTTTTTCTCTGCTTATATGTTTTTTAGTGTTCACAAATTTTCGTTGCTTTCCTGTGGAATAGGTCTACAGAGTTCCTCATTTTCTTCTCGAACTCCCTAATCTTCCCCCACACCCACCATTTGAGCAAGGGAAATATGAGTAGTATTTTAAAGGTCACAAACGTACATTCCATCAATACCTAGTTTATTGAGAGTTTATAGCATGAAGGGGTGTTGAATTTTATCAAAAGCCTTTTCTGCATCTATTGAAATAATCATGTGTTTTTTTGGTCATTGGTTCTGTTTATGTGATGGATTACATTTATTGATTTGCATATGTTGAACCAGCCTTGCATCCCAGGGATGAAGCCAACTTGATTGTGGTAGGTAAGATTTTTGATGTGCTGCTGTATACGGTTTGCCAGTATTTTACTGAGGATTTTCACATTGATGTTCTTCAGGGATATTGGCCTGAAATTTTATTTTCCATTGTTGTGTGTCTGCCAGGTTTTGGTATCAGGATGATGCTGGCCTCATAAAATGAGTTGGGGGGAGTCCCTCTTTTTCTATTGTTTGAAATAGTTTCAGAAGGAATGGTACCAGCTCCTTTTTGTACCTTTGGTAGAATTCAGCTGTGAATCCATCTGATCATGGGCATTTTTTGGTTGGTAGGCTGCTAATTACTGCCTCAATTTCAGAACTTCTTATTGATCTAATCAGAGATTCGACTTCTTCCTGGTTTAGTCTTGGGAGGACATTTGTGTCCAGGAATTTATCCATGTCTTCTAGATTTTCTTGTTTATTTGCGTAGAGGTGTTTATAGTATTTTCTGATGGTAGTTTGTATTTCTGTGGGATCAGTGGTGATATCCCCTTTATTATTTTTTATTGTGTCTATTTGATTCTTCTCTCTTTTCTTCTTTATTAGTCTTGCTAGTGGTCTACCTATTTTGTTCATCTTTTCAAAAAACCAGCTCATGGATTCATTGTTTTTTTGAAGGGTTTTCTGTCTCTATCTCCTTCATTTCTGCTGTGATCTTAGTTATTTCTTGTCTTCTGCTAGTTTTTGAATCTGCTTGCTCTTGCTTCTCTAGTTCTTTTCATTGCGATGTTAGGGTGTCAATTTTAGATCTTTCCTGCTTTCTTCTGTGAGCATTTAGTGCTATAAATTTCCCTCTAAACACTGCTTTAGCTGCGTCCCAGAGATGCTGGTATGTTGTGTCTTTCTTCTCATTGCTACAAAGAGAATAAAATACCTACAAGTACAATTTACAAGGGATGTGAAGGACCCCTTCAAGGAGAACTACACACCACTGCTCAAGAAAATAAGAGAGTACATAAACAAATGGAAAAAAAAACAATCCATGTTCATGGATAGGAAGAATCAATTTCATGAAAATGGCCATACTGCAAAAAATAATTTATAGGTTGAATGCTATCCCCATCAAGCTACCACTGACTTTCTTCACACAATTAGAGAAAACTACTTTAAATTTCCTATGCAACCAAAAAAAAAAAAAAAAAAAAAAAAGAAAGCCCATATAGCCAAGATAATCTTAAGCAAAAAGAACAAAACTGGAGGCATCATGCTACCTGACTTCAAACTATACTACAAGGTTACGGTAACCAAAACAGCATGGTACTGGTACCAAAACAGATATATAGACAAACGGAACAGAACAGAGGCCTCAGAAATAATGCCACACATCTACAACCATCTGATCTTTGACAAACCTGACACAAACAAGCAATGGGGAATGGATTCCCTATTTAATAAATGGTGTTGGGAAACTGGCTAGCCATATGCAGAAAACTGAAACTGGACCCCTTCCTTACACCTTACACAAAAATTAACTCAAGATGGATTAAAGACTTAAACGTAAGACCTAAAACCATAAAATCCCTAGAAGAAAACCTAGGCAATGCCCTTCAGGACACAGGCATGGGCAAAGACTTCATGACTAAAACACAAAAAGCAATGGCAACAAAAGCCAAAATTGACAAATAGGATCTAATTAAACCAAAGAGCTTCTGCACAGCAAAACAAACTATCATCAGAGTGAACAGGCAACCTACAGAATGGGAGAAAATTTTTGCAATCTAGCCATCTGACAAAGGACTAATATATAAAATCTACAAAGAACTTAAACAAATTTACAAGAAAAAAAAACATCAAAAAGTGGGTGAAGGATAAGAACAGACACTTCTCCAAAGAAGACATTTATGTGGCCAAAAAACATATGAAAAAAAGCTCATCATCTCTGGTCATTAGAGAAATGCAAATCAAACTACAATGAGATACCATCTCATGCCAGGTGGAATGGTGATCATTAAAACATCAGGAAACAACAGATGCTGGAGAGGATATGGAGAAATAGGAATGTTTTTAAATTGTTGGTGGGAGTGTAAATTAGTTCAACCATTGTGGACAACAGTGTGGCGATTCCTCAAGGATCTAGAACCAGAATTGCCATTTGACCTAGCAATCCCATTACTGGGTATATACCCAAAGGATTATAAATCATTCTACTATAAAGACACATGCACATGTATGTTTATTGCAGCACTGTTCACAATAGCAAAGACTTGGAAACAACCCAAATGCCCAGCAATGATAGACTGGATAAAGAAAATATGGCACATATACGTCATGGAATACTATGCAGCCATAAAAAAGAATGAGTTCATGTCCTTTGCAGGGACATGGATGAAGCTGGAAACCATCACTCTCAGCAAACTAACACAGAACAGAAAATCAAACACCATCTCTTCTCACTCATGAGTAGGAGTGGAACAATGAGAACACATGGACACAAGGAGGGGAGCATCACACACCGAGCTTGTCAGGAGGTGGGGGACTAGGAGAGGGATGGCATTAAGAGAAATACCTAATATAGACAACGGGTTGATGAGTGCAGCAAACTGCCATGGCACATGTATACCTATGTAACAAGACTGCATGGTCTGCACCTGTATCCCAGAACTTAAAGTATGATTTTAAAAAAAAAAAAAGGTCACAAAGGAAGGATCAATGGCTCAAAAAAAGAAATCATTGATTTTCATTGAAAATTAATTTCTTGCTTAAATATAAAAATTCGTCTCATGGTATTTTAAATCTATGCCATGCTTAGTCATCATGGAGAACAAGCTGAATTACAAGAAGAATGCTGTGACTGATGTGACGGTTCTTGAAACTATTTGGAGATATATCATTTTACTATTATTTTTAAATTTGTTGGCTTGTGTTTTTAAGGAGCAACTAAAATGGTTTCATAAATCTAAAATAAATTATGGTTTTCATCCATTTAAAGGCAATAATCTGAAACATGTAATCATGACTAATCTTTTCTCGTATCTTCCTGGAGTTGCATCCTGGCATCACATTCAATTCTATGACTTTTATACTGACGTTGTATAGATTATTCTCCAATCTTATAAGCTGAACTTAACCCTTGATCTCTGAGTCTTTATTCCTACTATTCCAAATATTAATTTTATATCTGTGCATTGAGTTTTTTTCTGATAAAAGAATCACAGAAATTTCCTGAATACATCAGATTCTTCTTCCAATAGAGCTTCTCAAAATATATTCTAATTTTGGCTTGGTACAGTGGCTCACACCTGTAATACCAGCACTTTGGGAGGCCGAGGTGGGTCGATTACCTGAGGTCAAGAGTTTGAGACCAGCCTGAGCAGCATGGTGAAACCCCATCTCTACTACTAATAAAAAAATTAGGCAGTCTTTGTGGTGTGAGCTTTTAGTCCCAGCTATTTGGGAGGCTGAGGCAGAACTGCTTGAATCTGGGAGTTGGAGGTTGCAGTGAGCTGAGATCGCACCATTGCCCTCCAGCCTGGGCAACAAGAGTGAAACTCCATTTCAAAAAAGAATTTTATATATATATATATATATATATATATATATATATATATATATAGAAACACACATGCATACATATACATATACATATTCTAAATTTATTAATGGCTAGCCAATTGACTAAATTAAAAAAAAACTCGCCATTATCTCTGATTTCTGTTTTATTATGCCATTCAAAAAAACGTAGATTACAATGTCAAGCTTATTCTTTATATACAATATATCTCATATCTCTTTTCTCTCCCACTTTGTTATATCTATCACTCTAGATATGCAGTTCATTGCATTTCTTCTGAAATATCGCAAATAATTTTCATCTGATCTTGATGTACTTTCCCTTTCTCAATATTTCATGAACACAGCTGCCAGATCCCTAAAATCCCAGCACCTGTACGGAGGGCAGATAGTCACTATTACTTATGGATTTTATTAATTTTTATTTAACAGAGTAATAAAAAATGTACTTTGTTTCTCAGGCAATGGTGGTAACTGATGCATACAAATACGGGAGAGAGGTAGTCTTATTTCCTGACAATAGATGTCCAAAATCTTGCTAAGTATCCTCTACCTATTAATCTAGGTGCACCTCTACAATTTTCTTTTATATTTCTTTTTGTAAAATAAAAGTCATATTATTCAGTATTTAACAACTGTAAACTGTTGGTATTTGTTTCTTTTTGATTTAATGATGATATTTAGCATTAGTGTTTTTTGAGAGAGAAAAACAATGCTTGTATATAGTTTGGGGAAAAATTCATTCAACCTTTATGCTAGGCAAAAATGCTAATCAAAATAATAAGGCAACTCCCTAATTCAACCTTTATAAATGGTAGTTTTAAATATGCATCAATAGCCTCAATCCCTTCACAGAAAAAAAATATAATTTCTAGAAATTAAATCCTGAAATAATCAAAGAAGTTACAGTTTTGTACATAATAATGAACTGCAAATGGACAAAATTTCAGCAGTAGGATTTGGACTAAATGGCTTATGGTACAGCCATATAAAAGAATGAACTTTACATAGCAACCGATGTTCATATTTTGCATCAAATAACAGGTTTGCACAGAATGATGCTATTATATGTGTAAATATACTCATATATACATGTATGTATACAGTTGTCCCTTGGTATCCATGGGGGATTGGTTCCAGGATCCCTGTGGATAATACAATCAGCAGGTGTTCAAGTCCCTTATATAAAATGATGGTATTTGCATATAACCTACACATATCCTCCTGTATATTTTAAATCACCTCTAGATTACTTATAATAGCTCATATAATGTAAATGCCATGTAAATAGTTGTTACTGTATTTTTATTTGTATTACTTTTTACTGTTGTATAATTTTATTTTTAATATTTTCAATTCTCAGTTATACCTTGATAGCATATTTTCCCCAAGTAGGCCAGATATCAGACTGGGTCTGATATTATTTCCAACCATAAGACTTTTAATACAACATTTCTACCTATCTTATGCTGAGTTTTTAGATGATATCTTTGCCAGTTTTTAATTTTATCGATCAGCTGAGTTCAATAGAAATAGAAGAAAACATTAGGAAGCTACTTGATGATTTTTGCCTGGCAAGCACTGCCGCTCTGACAATCAGTGTCCACGTGTGTAGTAACAAAATCGCATGTGTGTCTGGCTTTTCCATTTCTTCATGCACATAAAACTTTCTATCATCTCTTCAGTGCATTCTGATTTCTTTCATGTTTTGCAATTCAAAAGATTAGTTTTAATGCATCAATGAGCTGCACATGCAAAGCTGCTTCACACATATGCATCACGTTAGCTGCATGGTATCTGATGACATTTCTTCTGGCAATGTGTAGTCTTACTGTACTGGTGGAAAAGACCATAGTTATGGCAGAAATACAATAAAAATCATAGTCAAATTGATATGAAATGGACACCTCTTGCTTGGGAACAAGCCAACATTTCCTGTCTATGAGTAATCATCCTTGAACTCTGTGGTTGATCTTTAGCAGCTGTTATCTGGCCTCATAATCCTATACCACTCAGTGCTGCTTATTAGACCAAGTCTTCACTATTAGTTATTTTGAAAATATGGTCTAAGAAAATAGCCAAGACAATCTCTGCCAGTGGCTAGACCAGTATCCTACAATCAAGAGATGTAAAACAGCCATTTTCTATTATGTGGACTGGATAAACAGAAAAGGTGGTTTCTGTGAGAAAAAAAAAATGAAGCAGATTTTCAGAAAGAGCAGAGAAAACACAGAGGGAGAGATTGCAACTGTTTTTCTGGTTTATAATCCCAAACTCTTTTGGAAATCCTAAATTTACCTGATAAATGCAAAAATCCTCAGAATAGATTTCCACTTTTGTTTGGTTAAGTCAGTGTGATAGGCAGAAAAATGACCCACAGAATTGTCTATGACCTAATCCTGAAACCTGCAAATGTACTACCTTACATCACAAATGGAATTTTGTAGACGTGATCAAGGATAATGACCTTGATATGGGGAGATTACCCTGGAATATTGGGCTAGCCAAATCTAAATAAATGAGTCCTTAAAAACAAATAATTATTTAGAACCTTTACAGGACACTTGATTAAAGAGAGCTGAAATTACAAAGGAAGGGGCAGATATGCCATGTGAGAAGGACTTGATCTGGAATTGTAGACTTTGAAGATGGAAAAAGGAGACCATGAGTCAAAGAATGTGGGCATCCTCTAAAATCCACAAAAGTTAGGAAATGAGTCTTTCTAAAACCTGAGAAAGGATAGGATACATCTCGATGACACCTTCATTTTAGCCCAGTGAGGCCTCTGTCACATTTTCCACTTTGTGGAATAGTAAATTTGGACTTGTAGGATAATAAATTTGGATAGCTTAAGCAACTATGTTAGTGGCAATTTGTTACAAGCTAATACAGTTATATATATGTGGTATATAATCACACATATTCTTACCTAAACAGTGAATCACTCAGTGATATGGTTACAGGTTACAAACTAATATAGTTAAATTTCATTTATTTATGCTATGTAAGAAATAAAAAACAAAAATAAACAAGAGTCAGCAATTGGGTATGTAATTCAGGCTCCAGAAAGCCAAAATATCCTCTTTGCAACTTAACTGAAAGAAGATCTTCCATCCTGGGCTGTGACTTGTGTTTGCAATTAAGGAAACACTTGTCTTGGAAGACAATCCATATCACCCTTGGTGAATGCTATGGTGCAGCAGATGAATTTTTTAAAATGGTCCATCAGAGATGTTCCACTTTAACCTCATGTTATGGTCTGAATGTTTGAACCCCCTTAAAGTGTACATGTTGAAATTCTTTTAGATATTAGGAGGTAGGGCTTTTGGAGAACTGATTAGTTGATGAGGGCAGAGCCCTCATAATTGGGATTAGTGCCCTTATAAAATAAATGAAAAAGAGCTAGCTAGCCCCTTCCACATGTGAAGACAGGGTAAGAAGGTGCCATCGATGAAAAAACAGGCCCTCACCAGACACTGAATCTGCTGGTGCCTTGATCTTTGACTTCCCAGCCTTCACAACAGCCAGAAATTAATTTATGTTTTTTTGTTTTTTTGTTTTTTTGTTTTATAAGCTACCTAGCCTTTGATATTTTCTTATGGCAGCTCAAACTGACTAAGACAACTCAAAACTCAGAAATATGATGAACTATCACTTCCATGACTGTGTATATTATATAGCACAAGTGATTCGGTTAGAGGGATTATCTGGGTGGGCCTGAACTAGTAAAAGTAGTGGCAAATCCGCAATTACTTTTGCACCAACCTAATACTTGCGTAAGCTGTTAAAAGCAGGACATTTTATCTGGATAGTGACAGAAGGAGAAACCAGGGAAATTAAGTTTGAGATGAATTGACACACTGTTCCTGATTGGGAGATGGAACAGGCTATCTGAAAAGACCTAGGGATGGCCTCTAGAATCAATGATAGGCCATGGCTTGAAATATCACAAGGAAACGGGGGACCTTCCAACTACACCAAAGGATTCTGTCAACAACCTGAATGAACTCAAAAATGAATTTTTTCTTCAAGTCTGAGTCCAGCCCTGCAACCTCTTGATCTCAGCTTCATGAGACCTTAATTAGAGAACCCAGTTGAGCTTACACGAACTTCTGACCTGGGAAATGTGAGAAAAGTGTGAGTTGCTTTAATCTGACAAATTGACGATAATTTGTGATGTGGTCATAGAAAATGAATACAGAAATTTCTTTCTTAAAAACTGAAACCCAGTTTCTATTTCTGGCTCTCCTACTTTCTGACAATAGAAGTCATTAAGACTGTCCATAACCATTAAATTTCTCCTAAGCACAAGTATTATGGAACTTCCCTATACACTCTGATATTAAGTGTGGTTTGTGGCTTACCTTGAACAACTCAATGTAAGTAGAAGTGATTTGTATCAATCCACTAAGACTTTGTGGGTAGTTGTTAGCAAAATGTAGCCTTTTCTGGCTGATGCAACATATATGTGAACTTAGGCAAATTCCTTAATTACCTTCTTCCTCTGTCCCTCTTCCTCGTCCTCCTTTTTTATTCTTATTTATCATCATTAATTTTATGACAACAGTAATTATTATTATTGTTATAGAAGTTACCATTGTATAGACATTACAGAGCATTTATTATGTGTTCAGTAAAGGGATCTTAAAATATGGTAATTTAACATAGTAGTGAAGATCATGAATCTTGGAGCCAATTTGACTTAGCAGATAAAACCCAAAACCCAAAAATCTCTGCTTTTCCAACTATAAGCTCTTTCTTCTGTGCTTCGATTTTTCTGTTATCCATAAAAAGATAATAGCACTTGCTTCATGGGGTTGTGGGAGGACAAAAATAAATGTACACATGTAAAATGCTTAGAACACTGCACAATAATTGCCTCATGAAGAGTCATTCTTAACATGGTCTAATATATTTTTCACAGCCACCCTATAAAGTTGTCCTATGTATTATCTCCATAAGTTAAGTATTATCTCTATTTTACAGGCACAGAAACTGAAACTCAGAAAGTTTAATATTTTGCCCAAAGTTATCCTAGTTACTCTTTCTGATTCCAAAGTCCATGCTCATAACAATTTTCTCATTGGTTCTACCTGCTTCTGCCCTTAAGAGTCAATCAATTCCTTTTTCCTCAAGACAGCTATCATGCTTCCACTATGTTGTGTCTTTATGTCAGGATGAAATCTCCTAAGTTTCTTCACAAATCTATTAACTGTTATAGCCTCAGCATAACTGCCTCCCCAGTTTGCTACCTTCCAATATAATCTGAGTTCTCCACAAACTGAGTTATCATAGCATGCCAAGATGGGCTCTATAATATATGTTGAAATTATAGAGGACAGTTTAAAATTACCACTTTATTACTTTTTTTCTCCAGAAATGGGAAAATATATGCAGTTAGAATAACCAAAAAGGTGTGATTGAAGACATCAGGAACCCTGAATTCTAACCTAGGCTCTGTCACCACTGGCTGTGTGACCAGGAACAAACCAATTAACTTCTCTGGACCCAAGTTTTCTCATTCATCGAAAGAGGGGATTTAATGAATAGGATATGTTTCAGATCCTCTGAGACAATAAGCAATGTGCTTATTGAAAGCTTTGCTTTAGTTCTTGTGTGGTTGTGGCTCATGAGAACCTAATTGGGGAAGATGCTCAGTTTTGTGCTGTGCTGGAATCAATTGTACCAGAAGGAAGAGGGCATGTAAACAAGAGCCTACTGTGCTTATTTTCCTAACAAAATATCCCAGAGTGTGAGAATTCAGAGACTTGAGCTCTGTTGGCAATCAATAAAACATGAATGCATCTTTCTGAATGCATTTTCCTCATCCCCCTCAGGTTCCCTGTAATGAGGAGATAATGAGCTCTAGACATAGCCAGGGGTGCCTGGGAGCTTCTTCTAACATCCACTTTGTTAGAGAAACTTTCGCAGCTGAAAGGCAAAATATTTTCAAGGGATATTCTGCCAACTGTGTCACTCCCTGAGTTTAATATCATGATATTTTCTCAAGAATGTAAAGGTACCTACGGGGGTCTCTTTAATGGGTGCTACTCGGTGCTAAGGAAAATAAGTTTTTCTGTTGCTTCATTATTTGTTTTTTTAATCAAATCTGAGAAAAATATGTATTAGAGAACTACAGGTCTCAACTATATAAAGCAAAGCCCCTGAGGTCACTATTATATCTCAGGTATATTTCTGACATTACTTACTTTTCCTGCCTCTTTGAAGGACTTTTGAGACAGAGTGTCCCTTTCCTATTGCTTAGTATTTCCAACAACTACTGTATCTTAGGCATCTTATATACCCAGGCTGCAGTTGAAGAATAGCCACAGCTCCCTGCCTGTCCTAACACAAACACATATGTCTAGGATGGTAAAAATATTTTATCTATTTTCTCAACATTAATCAACTCTGGCTGTCTAGAAAAAAATAATTGTAAGAAGAATGCCAGAGTAGCCACAGATCTCAGGTATACATGGGCTGTACTTGGTTAGTGATAATTTCCAGTGTTCAGAGAGGAAGACCTGTTACATTCAACATTTGCTATTGAAACAATTGTCCCAAGTGAAACAGGGAGGAGGAAGGAGATGAGGGTGTTTAGTGTGGAATATCAAAATAATGCACATGGGGAAAGAACAAAAGTTGGAGACAAGTTAAATAACACATTTCATTTGTTGTGGTCACCTGTAGAGGCAGAAAAACTCCCACCCAAAATTTATTTTGGATGTCAACATTAATGATGCTTTTTTTTTTTTTTTTTTTTTTGAGATGGAGTCTCGCTCTGTCGCCCAGGTTGGAGTGCATTGGCGTGATCTCGGCTCACTGCAAGCTCCGCCTCCCGGGTTCATGCCATTCTTCTGCCTCAGCCTCCCCGAGTAGGTGGGACTACAGGCGCCTGCCACCACGCCCGGCTATTTTTTGTATTTTTAGTAGAGACGGGGTTTCACCATGTTAGCCAGGATGGTCTTGATCTCTTGATCTCGTGATCCACCCGCCTGGGCCTCCCAAAGTGCTGGGATTACAGGCGTGAGCCACCGCGCCTGGCCAATGATGCCTCTCTCTCTCTCTCTCTCTCTCTCTCTCACACACACACACACACACACACACACACACACACACACACCACACACACCAAGAGGGTTTAAAAGGTTTATTACTTACATAATTTAAATCTCTGGGACGATCAGGGCAGGACTTTCAAGAAGGTCAAAATATGACCTGAGACAGCATAGAAAGAAAACTGGTTTTGTAACCTAGGGTTCCTGGGTTTTGGGGTATGTACTGTGAAAAAGTTTCCACTTGTAATGGTTGAACTTTAAGTTCTTGTTGTTTCAAAAAGTGCCTGGAAGAAGATCAGCCTGGGAAAAACAAAAAACTTGTTGGATCCAGAGATGCCCGAGTTGGAGATGAACCATAGTGAAGTTTCTTCACTACCACACTAAAAACACCTCCCTGGGAGGAGCCTATCTGCTATTTCTTATACACATGACGGATGCAGAAGCATGGTGATTGTACCTGCTCTGCCTTTACTCCACCTCTACATACAATGACTCAGCTCACCAGCCTAATGAAAGTCCTGTTTTCCCTGTTGTTCGAGGTGATGCTGCTTTAAGGGACTACCCCTGGTGGGTGTCCATTTTACTCTTTAAAAGTAACAAAATCTCCTTGTTAAATCCTCCTTGGTTGTGGTCATTGGATTGTCACTGCAAGCAAGCGATTGAATTCACCCTTTTGTGGGTAACAGTTTGGGTTTTTATTGTTAAAGGATGGGGTCCCACAGTGAGAGTTCCAGGTGGGCAGTGATTTGCACGGTTTTAATTTCCTGTGGGAGCCAAGGGAGGAAAGCTTGCTTATGTTTTTTTAGATGTAGAGAACAAGGAGATGAGTCTAAAAGCTGTCCACAGTCAAACAACAAGAAATAGAATCAGATTTCTCATTCCTACTTCCTGAGATGCAATTTTAAATTGAAATAAGGTCAGAGGTCAGAGAACATGGGTTCAAATCTCAGCATAACCACTTATAAGCTTCTGACCTAATGAAATGCACTTGATTGCATCCCAGCTGATTTTCTTCCTCTGTAAAATGGAGACAATGTTAGGATCTATGCATAAGACGGCAGATGATTAATGGAGATGTTGCACTCAAGGTTTTAGTAGTATATTATAGTAAGTGTGTAATCCATCATTGCCTCACCATTGCCTTTCTACCACTACTGTTCTGGCTACAACTAGCTCTTACCACTGCTATTTTATCTCACTTTTCTTCATAGAATAAAGTTCAACATCTGCCTTTTTTTTCTGTGTATTTGTCCCCAGATCTGACTTTGGGCTGTTCAGATGGATTTTAAGATCTGGGCTAACAATCCTATTACTAGTGAGAGAGGAGAAAGGAAGAAACCGATCAGGAAGACAGGGTGGGTCCTCAGTTTTAGAGCAGGTCCTTGGTTAAATTCTTTCAAACAAAAGAATAGCCTGGAAAATCAAGCTGCAGGCACAGATAAGGGAACTTTCCCAGGGGGGCTTGCCTAAGACATCCCCACAGGCACATAGATGAGAAAGGCTACACAGGAGACTTTCCCACACATGCCCACAATGGAAAATTTTGTCCCCTGACACAAGCACAGTAAGGGGAAGAAAGCAACATGGAATAACTCAAGCTAAGATCCCACATGCACACTAGGAGGATGGGATGGAACTACCAGAAATGCACACCTTATGCAAATGAGATGCCCAACCCCATAGGGGTTTCTTACAAAAGCCTCTATATCCAAACTTTGAAACAACAACCCATTTTTCTGGAGCCCCTCTCTGTAGCAGAGAGCTATTCTCTTTCCTTCACCTATTAAATTTCTACTCTAAACCTCACCCTTTGTGTGTCCACGTCCTTGATCTCCTTGGCTGTGAGACAATGTCTGCTTCACTAGGTATATAACTAAAGTCTGCTTCAGTAGGTATACACCCAAAGGAATATGAGTCATTCTACCATAAAGATATGTGCACATGTATGTTCACTGCAGCACTATTTATAAGAGCAAAGACATGGAATCAATGTAAATGCTCATCAATGGTAGACAGGATAAAGAAAATACATATATACCATTAATTACCATGGTGTCATAAAAAAGAATGAGATTATGTCCTTTTCAACAGTATGGATGGAACTAGAGGTCATTATTCCAAGCAAACTAATACAGGAACAGACAACCAAATATCGCATGTTCTTACTTATGATGTAAACATCATCAAAAGTAATGAGATGATGAGAAAACATGGACACAAAGAAAATAACAGACACCAGGGTCTACTTGAGGGTGTAGGGTGGGAGAAGCGAGAGGACTAATAAACTACCTATCAAATACTATGTTTATTACCAGGGTGACAAAATAATCTGTACACCAACCCCCCATGAAATGCAATTTACCTATATAACAAATCTGCACATGTACTCTTGAGCCTAAAAATAGAAGTTAAAAAAAAAATCTGGGCTGGGTATTCTTATTCCCAATGGCTATGTTGACCTCAGCACTGTCATAACTTTGTGAGACCTGAACGTGTTAACATCTGACTTCTTGTAGCATATTCCTTCCTGGAAACGGGGGCAACCATGTTATGATACATGTTAAGGGCAGGTTTTTGTTTGCTTGCTGTATTTTACTATTTAGATTTGAAGAAAACATACTCCCTTTTCTCACAGAGCATCTGTGACTGAAATTTCATGATATTTTAGCTGATGAGAAAATTGATTTCTCAATTGCAAATCCTAGAAGAAGTTTACCTGAAAATAAGTATTTTATTATTCAGATTTAACACTTGCTTTTTGGTTCAGATATATTTTATCATTTAGTCTCACTCATTTTATTTTTAATGGTATATAACAATTGTCTTTTTCCTAAATATGTTCTCAGAGTCAGAAAATTAGGACTTTATTTAGAGGTATTTTTCCCACGTTGGATTTCCTAATGCATTTTGTTTATGCTTCTCTTAAGGCAGGAATTCATATATGTGTTTCTCTGCATGGATGATCACTGAATAATACCAAACAATTTGTATTACGTGGTTATCTGTTAAACAAGTAGCTTTCTAGCTGTTCCCTAGGAGATTCTGATTCAGTGAATTTTAGAATGGGGCTTCGGACACAGTATTTTAACAAGCACTCAAGGATATTCATAAAACACTGGCCTTCTTCCCATTGATTTTAAGTTATGCGGGATTTATGTTTTCTTCACTACCACAAGAACCAAGGTGTTTTGTACCCAGTGAAATTCCTAGTGTTGAGTTTGCATTCTCATGCTTATTGGATTTTTCTGGAGTAAAATAACAGTAATAATCATATCAATAGTTATAATTCATTATGTTTACTGTATATTTCATTCTTTTGACATATTACTAAATCATAGTAAACTCTAATCCAGAATGTATGATCCCAAGGTTAGAGATTTGGAAACTGAGGCTTGGGGTAAGGGTAGTAAGTGCCTCAGTTCATGGAGTTGAAAAATAACTGAATCCATCTTCATATCTGGTTCTGTCTGACAGCCAAGCCCCTGTGACTTGTGAAGTGGATTGGACATATTTCTCCAGCCACTGCCGCTTGCCCTAGTTAACATTCTCCTTGAACGACCTACAAGGTCTTTAACTTCTCAGTGGCTTAAGTGTCTCTGATGCTCCCATTTAAAAATCGCAATACACACATAAATAATTCAAGCAAACAACTTGATATAGTGGAGTGCATTAGGGCTAAAATAACCCTCCCCTTTTCGACTAGTTTAGAAAACCATCATCATTTTCTAGAAATACTCTCTGGGCTTCATGTGGTGCATGGTACATTGAATTTGTTAGCATTTTGCCAGCTCTGCCATTCAAAAGAAAAAAAAATCACTCTAGAATCACTGCAAAATCAGCGTAAATGCAGATTTAATTGGCTTTGCCTCACAAATAACCTTCTTCATGCCAGCTTTATTGTCACGGTTGGAGAAGAGCCTATCTTTGTCATCAATATACCCTTTAGGTCTATTAACAATATTCATAGTGAAAATCCAAGAGGTGTTTACTGATAGGCTAAGGTCTGCATGAGTTGTTTTTAAACTGATTTTTTAAATCCCATCAAGGTTTATCTCCAGAGAGAAGTAGCTGGACAGATTGATAGACAGATCAATCTGGTTTATCTCTAACATAATCTAATAACAACCCCTTTCTCTGTTTGACCATGTCCCCAAGTTACATTGCTCATATCTGAGGACACCAAACATGCTAAGGCCATTCCAGCCTTTGGCCTTTGCTCACATTATTGCCTGTTCCAGGGCCGCCTCCCTATCTCCATGTGGCTGACTTCTACTCATCCTTTACACCCTTGCCTAAATGTCACCTGCTTACCAAGGTCATTTCTGGAATCCTGTCTGGCGTGGTCTACTCTTCATTTGTTTTCATTTCTGCTCCTCATTTGTTTCATTTATGTCAAGGGTTGGCAACCTCTTTCTGCAAAAACCCAGCTAGAAATATTTTAGGCTTCACAGGCCCTAAGGTGTCTATCACAATCATTCAACTCTGTCGCCATAACCTGAAAGCAGCCACAGACACTATGTAAAGAAAAACCATGGGTGTGTAACAATATCATTTTATTCACAAAACAGGAAGCTGGTAGGATTCAGCAAGCAGAGGTAATTGACTGACTTTCTGGTTCATAATACTTATTACAAATTATAGTTGGAACATTTGTTATTTTATACCTGTTTATTGTCATAATACTAATTAGAATGACTACTTCAGGAGGACAGTAGGCAGAGTTTAGTTGCACTTCAATTGTACACAGTAGATGCTCAATAAATATTTATTTGAAAGAAGAATGTATTAATCAGTTCAGAGTTTAGCTTGATTTAATATTTAGCCATAATGATCTTTCATATCCTGCAGGATAAAGTCCTAAATAATTATCATAATACGTACTCCAACAAACTCCCAACCTAGTGAGGTAGGTGTGTGTGTGTGTCTGAGTGTGTGTGTTTTAAGGCACGGTGTCACTCTATCACTCAGGCTGGAGTACAGTGGTACAATCACGGCTCACTGAAACCTCAACTTCCTGGGCTCCAGCAATTCTCCTGCCTCAGCCTCCTAAATAGCTAGGACTACAGGTGTACACCACCACACTAAGCTAATTTATTATTTTTGTAGAGGCTGGGTCTCACTATGTTACCCAGGCTGGTCTTTATCTCCTGGCCTCAAGTGATCCTCCTGCTTAGGCCTCCCAGTGTTCTGGGATTACAGGTTTGAGCCACTATGCCTGGCCAAAATTTTTAGTTTGAGGACTCATATCTCTTTCACTATCACAGGACAAAAGCTGTAGTTTAGTCATTCATTTACTCTTGCATTTAGTATTTCATGTCCAATAAAAATATGCTACACACTGTGCTAGACACTAGGCTAAAATGGAACATGAACTATACACAGCCACTTACTTCTGGAGTTTAAAGTCCAATGTTGTCTCAAAGTACATGGGAGTTCACTTCTCTGTTTTGCATGCTGTTCAGCATGATTTCCTGTGTCTGTAAGTCTCAGCTCTCAGATTCCATGAGTAATCTCCCACTGGTGCCTCTCAATTTAACTGAATAATCTCTCTGACTCTCTCTCAGTCCATCCCTCCATTCTCTGTATTCCTGTAACACTCAGTTCCTATTGACTTCTCATTGAGCCATAGCCACTTCTCTAAGGACCTGCCTCCTTCAATTCACAATGATTTCTGGTAAACCCAAGAAAACAAGTGATACAAGTCTGACATTCTTCTTTGTACCACCAAGGTCAAGCACAATGCCTGGAATACAGAAAGTACCAAATAAATATCTGATGGATAAGCCAGTTTTTACATTCCACCCGGAGACTTAAGTAGTGCCAAGTATTTGTGGGCTGAATTCAGAAGAATTTAACTTGGATCCTATAAAAAAGTACTGTGTTTGGATTATTACCAAGTATCTTTTTCTAAGAGTCAAATATCTTTGAGTTAAAAATCATCAACTACTAAATGATTTCAGATACTATATTTTATAAATTTTTAAAATGATATGATATTCAAAATCCAGGGTTTTAACTGGAGCAACAAGTGGAGACTTGACTAAGGTGAAAAATGTATTAAGGGAAAAATTATATATGATGCTTTCCTATAGTGAAACTGACCTGGTGCCATGTTCTCTGGTACAGAAATGGGTCATGCTACTTTTATTTCAAATACATTATATTTTAAAACTTTCTGCATAGAATCAAAAATTCCACTGATTCTTTTGATGTATCTATTTGAAGGTTTAAATTCTAAACATGCGAAACTGTAAAACTTTTAAAAGTCAAAATGATCCTTTAGAAAAGCCATAAAATAATAATTCTACATAATGGCTTTGAAATATTTTTGTTGAAAAGCTGTCAGATCTGTACAAAATAAGAACCCTGGACCTATGCAAATCATCTCAGCCTTAGAATATGAAATACTTTTACAAATAAAATGACAGCGTTTCAGAGAAAGTACAGGTTGGTTTTAAAGTAAGTGATAGAAGGGTTGTATATGGCATGAGAGCCTTCTGAAATGGAATTTTTATGTATACTCACTGAATTTGTAGCAAAGCATCCCAGAAAGACAAGTATTTTAAAGCAAGTGGCAGGGTTGAAATTTTTCTAACTTTCCTTTATCTATTTTCATTTTTCCCAGAACATATGTTTCACAATAGTTTTATTAGCAAGTGGAGAAGACATCACTGTCCAAAATCTGTGGTGTGATTAGCGTTATTGAATGGCAGGTTTTGTGTTACTCATGTTTATTTTATGTCTTCCCAAACCATCTGTTTCCTTGTGCTGTCTTATTCAGATAATGAGAAACAGTGACAGTAAAGGTGCACATTGCCATTACAGTGCTAATGGTTTCTGACATTTTGGGTTTGGGTTTCTATTTCTCTGAGTGTCATAGGCAAAGCTAAATAACATGGTCACTCTTAGGAAACAAAGCCTAGAAACAGTTCATGCATTCATTTGACTCAACTCTATTGACTATTTACCCTGCTTCAGGTATTAGACAAGGAACTGTGGTTACCAAGATGTATAAAACACTATTGCTACCCACAACAGTCTAGTGGGGAAGAATGGCATGAAAACAATGTCCTATGACAAGACTAAAACCGAATTAGGATAAAAGTATGATGGCGTCAGGAAGTGAAAGTGAAAGCATTCATTCTAAGAATGCACTGGAGTCTTGAATTGAGTCCTGAAGCATTAAATTACAAATATAAGAGGCAGGAAAGCTGCCAGAGAGTACTTCAGGCTAAAGCACCTACATTAACCATGGTATCCATAGAAATGTGAGAGTTTGTTTTTGAGCAATTTTAATTACTTGCATTTGGCTGAAATACAGGATATGCCTGGGAAAGCAGGCGCGAATGAGACTTTGCAACTTGGTAACAATAGCTGCTAGTACATCTGGAGTTCTTGGTTCATGCCATATACTGTTCACCCATTTTCTCATTTCATCTTTGCATTGAAGTGCAAGACTGGAACAATTTTACTATTTATCTTATTTAGCAGATTAGAAATCTGAGTTCTAGAGAATTTAGTGGCATGTTAATTCAGTTGGTGAACCCACAGAACATTCAAACTGGATGATCCTGGAGTGTGTAGTAAAGGGACTATTTTTCAAGCTGTGAGCATAGTTTAAGCCAATGGTCCTCAAAGTGTGGTTCCCTAGACCAGCACTATCAGCATCATATGAGAATTTGTAAGAAATGCAAATTCTCAGGCCTTATCCTAGAATTACAAAATCCCAATTTCTGGGAATAAGGTCCAGCAATTTGTCTTCTAAAAATCCCTCTAGGTGATTCTGATGCACTCTGACATTTGAAAACCATGGGTTTAGGGAAGTCAGCATGGATGGTACAGTACCATGGGGCTAGTAATACGGAAAAAGATGCTATGATCCTTAGGCCATAAAGAAGAGAAGGCAATTATCAGAACCCAGGAAAAGGAAATAGGAGAGGTCTATCTAATTGGAGCTGTGGCCATCAGTAGACAGGCACTATCAACCCGTGCAGCCCAGCAGGTAGGGAGTACTCTCTGGGTGTCCTGAGGAGGTCCTGCAGGTGGCTTTCAATGGCCAAATCCAAGTGCCACTGCAGGGCTGGGGAGCTAAGTGGCTCCAGAGTCCAGAGGAGCTAATTGGCAGAGCAAGTGAAGGCTGATGTATAGATTCGGAGGGTTAAACAGAAGACGCCTATCACAGGTCCCCAGGATGATGAGGAGGAAGAAGTGAAGGCATATTTTAAACCCAGGCAAGATGACTTTGCAGCCCTATTCTTAACAACCATACCGTGCAACCTCTAAGTAAGAGTAGGTAGGACTCAGAGCATGACCCTCTAAGCCAGGCTAAGTAGCTGGGAATGGCCCCTATAAGCAATATAGACCCTAAAGGAGTTTTAGGAGGGGGAGACACATGATATTATTTATTTATGCATTTTTTTTTTGTTTTTTACTATAGTTTGGAAAAGATTACCCTCATAAGATTACTTTTAGGATAGAGGATGGAGAAGGGTGTGAATGGTTGATAAATTTTTTGTGCTAATCCAGCTGAGATAAGAACTCAGGCTCCAGGAATGAAAATGGAAAAAGAGTCTAATTTATTAAAATCTACAGAATTTTTTTGCTAAAATCTACAGGTGAGTTAGATGCAGGCATGGGAAGGAGTCTAAGATGCTTCCCAGATTTTCACACAGGTGGCAGAGTAAATTTATGGTGATTTTCTTATTATTATGTGTTTGTTCCTTGTTACTTATTTTTTTAAATACATTTCATCTTGCTGCTATATGTGCTAGGAGCAGTGGGAGTTGTCTACTAGGTTGTCACATATAAAAGTTTAGAATTTATAGAATAAAATGAAACCAAAGATACAGACTGAGAGTTACCAGAATATACATACTTGTTAAAGATAAGCAAGGGTATATGTACAAGATGAAGAGCCAAGATTCAACCAAAGGGGAAGCTAAATTTAAGTAAAGAAGAAGAACTTTGGGAAATGTAAAGAAGAATGATAATGGTAACAACAATACTAGCAATAAAATTGTATTGAAAGCAGGTGGCATATAATACATATTTAGTACATACTATGCTAAGCATTTCCTAAGCATAATATTATTTAAATTATATTTTAAAAACTACGTGATGGATGCTAATAGTAAGCTTACTTAACAGATGAAAATAATGATGCTTAGGGAATATAAAGAAATTGTCCAAGGGTAAGTGGTTGGTAACTTGATAAATGGACATTCAAACCCAAGTCTCTGCTTACTGAGTTCAGAAAACCCATTGTTTATTTTCAGAAATAGACAAGAAAAAAAAAACATGTAAAGTAAACCACAGTTGGTAAGATTTTCAAACAAAAGGACGTTTTAAGAAGGCTTAACAGTATTAATGTTTCTGATATAAGGACAAATAGTATTTAGGACTCTGTGCACTGAGGAATAGATTCAGAAGGGTTCTAAAAGGGTAATGAAGGACACAGCTAAACAGAGTGATTGGCATGAAAGAATGCAGAAACTTCAAATTTTCCACTAGGCATTCAACAACTTGGCAGTAAACCAAGGGAAGAGATGCAGCAAAAACTACTAGGATTCAGGGTTAAAAAAATCATTATTTTGTGGATTTTTGTTGGTAGTAAAATGGAAAAAGAAAATAAGTTATAGGTCAGAGAAAGGGAAAAGGAAGAGAGTGAACGAATATATAAAAGAAAAATGGAACAACTGATACCTAAGGTGATAAAGAAAATGGAGAGTTCACAGTTTCTTGGATGAATTTCCTTTGGATCTGGGCACATCACAGTTACTGAGAGAGGCAGAATGCTGTTGAGGATAGAAAACCCTCCCTCCCTCCTCTCCTAGCTCCCGTCAGCCTCCAGGGCCTTGCACGATTAGTGACCCATCCCTAACATGGAGTAATCCACAAAGTAGATCAAATGCTGAAATCCCATGGTTCTAAATAGCACTATCTTCAGAGCAGCATTTCAACCATGGCAGGAAACATCTATTCCTGAAATGGAATTGTTTTTATAGTTTGGCAAAATAACCGGTCCCACAAAAATTTAACTGCAAGATTTTCAGAATAGAGGTCTCCTGTAAAAGGTGAATTAGTACCTCGGTCATGGAGACAAAAGCAGAATCCCAGACCTAGGGAATAAAACAGACTGGCCAGAGATGAGTCTTCACACCTTAACAACTTCCGCCATTTAGCTGTTCACTGTTGGAGGGAGAGTGCCAAAGACATCTTTCTGGTGTGTGCCTAACCCTGGGCAAGGTACAGAGCAGACCAGAAGAAACTAGAATTAGAAATAAAATTCATTTTTAAGATGTTAGATTGGAGGCTTGGTTAACATGCTCAACACTTGGAAAGAGAAAGAAAATGTGCAGAGAGTCACATGGTGATCTTCCATCCAAGAAGAACGTGGGAACTCAACAAAAATAGTGAAAGAAACTTTGAATACTTTGAAAGGAACAGTGAGCAGCAACTTGTACTGTGAGTCAGACAGAAAGCTGTAAGTCTCCAGAGCCTGAATAAGACAGAGACTGTCTCAGTGACACATATTCCCACTGGGGTGCTGGCCAATGACCACACTGCCCAAAGCAATCTGCAGATTCAATGCAACTCCTGTCAAGAAACCAATGTTATTATTCACAGAACTAGAGAAATCAATCTACGATTTGTATGGAACCAAAAAAGAGCCCAAATAGCCAAAGCAATCTTTAGCAAAAAGAACAAATCTAGAGGTATGCCACTTTACCTAACTTCATCTAACCTAACAAGGTTACAGTAAGCAAGACAGCATGAGACTGGTGTAAAAATAGACTCATAGACCAATGGAACAGAACAGAGAAACCAAAAATAAAGCAAAATGCACACAACTATCTAATCTTTGACAAAGCAGGCAAAAATATCCACTAGGGAAAAAAATTCTATTCAATAAGTGGTGCTGGGAAAATTGGATAGCCACATGCAGAAGAATGAAACTGAATCCCTGTCTCTCACCATATACAAAAATTAACTCAATATGGATTAAAGACTTAAGTATAAGACCAAAACATTAAACACTCTAGAAGAAAATTCATAAAAAACTTCTCTGGACATTGGCATAAGAAAGAATTTATGACTACTCTGAAAGCAAATCCAACAAAAATAATAAATAAGAGTTAAGTAAAAGGCTTCTGTGAAGCAAAATAAATAATCAATAGAGTAAATAGCCAACCTATAGAATGGAAGAAAATATTTGCAAACTATGCATCTGAAAAAGGACTAGTACCAAGAATCTACAAGGAACTCACATCAGCAAGAAAAGAAAAAAAACTAATCCATTTAAAAAATAGGTAAATGACACGAAAAGACATGTTTTAAAAGAAGATATACAAATGTCCAACAAACATATGAAAAAATATTCAACATCACTAATCATCAAAGAAATGTAATTTAAAACCATAATGAGATATCACCTTACTCCAGTCGGAATTAAAGTAAAAAAACAATAGATGTTGGTGCGGATGCAGTGAAAAGGGAACACTTATACACTGTGGGTGGGAAGGTGAATTAGTACAATCTCTATGGAAAACCATATGAAGTTTTCTCAAAGCACTAAACTGTACCATTCAATCCAGCCCTCTCGCTACTGGGCATCTACCCAAAGGAAAAGAAGTCACTATATCAAGAAGACATCTGCATCTGTATGTTTATAGCAGCACAATTCACAATTGCAAAGACATGGAACCAATCTAACTTTAGCTGAGGAGCAGATAAAGAAAATGTGGCATATGTATATGTATACCATTGAAGACTACTCATTCTTTTTTTTTTTTTTTTTTTTTTGAGACAGGTTCTCACTTTGTCACTCAGGCTGGAGTGCACTGGCACAAACTCAGCTCAATGCAACTTTTGCCTCCTGGGCTCAAGCAATCCTTCCGCCTAACCCTCTCAAGTAGCTGGGACTGTAGGTGCACCACCATGCCTGGAATTTTTTTTTTTTTTTTTGTATTTTCTGTAGCAATGGAGTCTCACTATGTTGCCCAGGCTGCTATCGAACTCCTGGGCTCAAGCAATCCTCCCACCCTGGCCTCCCGAAGTGTTGAGATTACAGGTGTGAGCCACCGTGTGCCTGACCTTACTCATTCATTAAAACCGAAATAATGTCTTTTTTAGCAACTTGGACGGAGCTGGAGGTTATTATCCTATGTGAAGTAACTCAGGAATGGAAAACCAATTACCACATGATCTCACTGATAAGTGGGAGTTAAGCTCTGGGTAGACAGAGGCATACGGAGTGGTATAATTGCCTTTAGAGATTCAGAATCAGGGAGGGTAGAGGAGGGTTCGGGTTAAAAAACTACCTCTTGGGTAAAATGTACACCATTTGGGTGATGGCTACATTAAAAGTCCAGGCTTCATCACTATACAGTTTATCCGTATCACTGAAAACCACTGGTACACCTAAATCTATTAATTTAAAAAAATAAAAAAATTAAAAAGAAATAAAATGCAACATCAGGCCTTCAAATAAAACTTGTGGAAAAAGTACCCCATTGGTTCCTTCTCTAGGAACTCCGTATTCCCTACAACTGAACACAAAATTCAACATTTTCAACACAAGTACTTTGACCATTAACATACATTTGAGCCAGATGATTTTGGATTTCATCTTTGAAATATAAAGCTACTTACTAATTTGAAATGTATCAGTTTGAATTCATAAGAAAGAATCATACTTTTAAACAGAAACACTATGTTAAAATATTTGCATAAAGTTGGCCCTTAAGAGAGAAAGTAGAGGAAATTCACAAGTCCAAGTCCATATCTGTCATTGACTAATTCTGTGACCCTGGGCAAATAGCATAAGCTTTCTGTTTGTCATTCTTATCACTTGTAAAACAGAGATACTAGTAATAGCAATTTTACAAGGACTTTTTTGAGATGAAATAATATAAAGTGTATGAAAAGGGCCTGGGCATAAATCTGCAGAAAATAAAATAGGTTTTTGATAAAGGTGCATTGGGGTGAATCCCATGATTTCAAAATTCTCCTGCGAGGATGACTAAGACATTGACTGGAAGGGGGAAAGAAAGAGAAGAAAGAACTGCCAAAACATCCTGGCTTCCTGAGGGAGAGCTCCTGGGAAAAACATCTATTTATAGTTAGAACCATTTTTTAAAGTAATAAAATTCTAATGATTGATTAAAAGAAAAAGAAGTCATCCAGAGATGAATGTTTATTACTATAATTTAACTGGGTTGATATTTGAATAATTCAGATGGTTAGGGGTGGAGATCTGCAGACCAAATTATTCCTCAAATATCCCCAGAGGAGGAGGCCAAAAAAGGGAAGTCAGTGCTACAGCTACTAAGCAGATGAATTGATCTGGTGGTTATTATATCAAGAACACTCATGGCAAAGGTCAAGGCAGATGACAAACCACAGGAATCGGATTTAGGGCAAGAAACAGAGTGCCTAAAAAGTATGACGAAAGCAAAACATTTCATCCAGTTAGGAGAAGGGATAACTAGATTGTTCTAAGGCAGTGACCCAGTTTTTGGCCAGAATACCAGAAAAGACTAGATCTCAGTTACTCAGACTCAGGAGCAAGATCAAAAGGAGGGCAGACACTCCTTACTTGGAGCTCCTTGATTTTCTAGTCTGCAACAGGACTAACTCAGTATGTGAAGGTCACATTGCCCTAGATGTGGCAATTAGACGATCACACTCATCTGAACTTTGTGATGACATTATTTTGTGAGTCCCCCTTATGGTATTGCAACACATTGCTTACAACAAACGCTACTGTTGAGAGAATCTGGAGAAATTTAGTTACACGGATTTGAGCTACATGTATTCTCTCATTCCTATTCACTCCTTGTGACTTGTATTTGTCATATTATGTATTTTTACTAAAACACAAACTACTCTTAACATTAACTGTAATATATTTTCACTCTAATAAAGAGAGTGTAAAATAAAACCAGGACATTGCACATCAACTATAATAAAGATCTGGGTGAAAACACTCAAGATAAAATAATTATCTTGTTCCTCTCCATGACGAAAACTATATAAATTATAATGCTTAACTTTCAACAAAATTGGGGCCAATTTGGAGGTGAGAAAGTGGCCATAATGTGGCAGAACACTTAATTTCATTTTTCACCATGATTTTGAATTTCTATTCTCAATAATATTTCCTCTTACTCCTGTTTTCTTACTCTCATTTTGTTCTTTTATTATTTTATTATATTTTTTTTGTTTGGTTGGTTGTTAAAATGCACGTTAAATCTTTAGGGGGTAGTATACAAATAAATGCTACTAAGTAAAAAAGATACATTGATAGTTTTATTTTTCTTGATATTAAAAGCATAGTGACTGATGGTAGCATTCCCCTGGGTGAGGGAGTGAGGTGGTCATTTGAGTAGCATTTGTATGAGGAAACGATATGGTCCTCACATTGTAAGAACAGTAAAGAAAACAAAGTAAAAATAATCGTGAGGTTGAGGCATTAACACAACCACAGCAGCTCTGACATTAGAATGAAATGTAAGGAAAATCAAGTGAAAAAAAAACAACAATGACTTTTCTTGCAATAATTTTTTTCATTTATTTTCTCTCTAAGCTGTAAGAAGATACCTAATTTCTAGTTAAGTCCCACTGAGAGATCTTCAACTCCAAACCCCAAGAGGGGGCAGTATTGTTTAAACACCTTAAAGTTGTCTTTGTACGAACCTCAGTGACCACCCTTTTGACAAAAAAAAATCACCAATCTAATTTCAAAGGCAGATAAGAATGTAACCTCTACTGAGCTTCATCAGCCACACCTCAGGTTGAAAAGTAGTGCCCATTTCACTGTCTTTGAAGAAGTGGTGGAAATGGCTGCAAATGACTATGTAGGTGGCTGGAAAATTGTAGTCAGGTATTCCTCTGTTGACCCAGGGCCCAATGCCCAAGACTTGAATATGAAAATAGGGGGAAAATTGCAAATGAAAGACTCAGCAGCCAACTGAAGTCCTGAGTTAAAATCATGTCCAGTTTCGAGGAAAAGCAATTAATCTGAAATCACTTCTTATTCTTAGCTGGCTCCCTGAGTATGATTCAATTAAATAGGAACTCAGTGGCAAGGTGTTATTAGAACCATGACTTATTCTTCACAAATTCCATTGGCCAAACCTGAGCATGTTATTTTCATAGGTCACTGACAATAGGAATGCTTCCACAGGAAACAGTCCTAGGGTCGGGATAATAGGTCTCATGAGGAACAAGTGAAGGGATTTTGTAATTTTTCATAGAAAAGAGATGAGGAAAGTTCTTCTCAGCATTGGAGCATCAACAAAGACAGAAGCAAATTGTCCAGGGACATGCTGCTAGTGATGGCAAAACTAGAAACAAATTATAGAATTACAAAAAGAAACATGGAAGTTATCTTTCATTCAAATCAATGAAAGATAACTCACTCAATGCACTGTGACATGCTGATAGTGAAACGCACATCTCTGGTGAGTGGTCTGAAGCCAGGGATGCAAGAGAATGCTTCCCACCTCCACATGGTGATTGCAGACTCCAATGCAACTGGGCTGGAGGCAGTCCTCCCCATGATGCCTATAATAATCTCCCCTTGATTGTCTCAGAGACTAAATATATTCATTAATATAAAAAGGCAAAATTTGCTTTTATCAAAAAGACTTCATTATTCACTCAGAAATAGAATGAACCAGAAGAAAATGGTTTTTCTGGTTTGAGTTAGTGTTCTTTATTGTTGGGTGTCAATTGACTCCCATTTTGTACGTGAAAATAACTTTCAGCCTCATTCCAGTTGTTCTTAACAAAGAGAATTATGGGCAGCCTCAGTTTGGTAGAACTTTCAGCTTATTCAATAAAGAAATTGATAAGGAAAAGAACAGCATGGCTCTGGCGTAGGAGGGAATGTGCCACTTTCTCTGTGCATCCTGACTTTCATCCACACTACAACTAATTATATTTTTACAACATTTTACAAATGACCCTGGTCATCACTAGCAGCACACCTTTGGACAACTTCCTTCTCTTTGTTGACTTTCCAATGTTGAGAGCAACTTTCCTTTTGTTTTTCTGCATTGAGTATTATACTATACATGAAGTACAGAGAAAAAATAGTGTTCCACCCCTTCCTTTAGAGAGGGCTCTATGTGCAGACACAAAATTTCTGCAGAATATTGTTAAGATTATAAGTAATAGGTAGTGCCTTATCTTCACTGTATCTCTGTTCTCCCATCTGTACACTGAGTGTGGATCATATAATGTTGAAGATCTTTTCCAGTGCTGAAGGGGTCTCTGTGACTGGTCCTTAATCTTCAGCTACCTGGAGCTATCACTTACCCTCTCTTGAAAAGGTGGGTTTCTCAAGACATCAGTAGAATCTCACTGCAGCCTACAGGCACGTGATAGATCAAGAGTTCTCCACGGGTGTTGAAAGCTTCCTGTGTGTTCGCAACAATAAACATCCCGCCCCAACAGTTGACTTATGTCTGCTTTTTAAACAATTGCAACAGATGGTTGACACTTGAACAGAATGTATAATTAGCTTTGCAATCTAACACTTCATTCTTACTTGCTCTTTCTCAAAGGAGAGAAGCTGTGCCTTATGCCATTGGGTCTAATCTGTTAGTTTAATCAGAAGCAGTGCTATGTAAGTTCTCAGGAGACATGGGCTGTGGGAGGATTCCTAATCCCAGCCTTTTGAGGACATGAAAAGAAGCTGGGAGGGGGTGTAGAGAGAAATCTCAGTACTTTTAAAAAAACTCATGCCTCATTCTCATTTGTGTTCCAAAGGAGGAAAGTTTTTATGCCTTTTTCTTTTCTTTCTCCCACCTCATCTCCCTCAGCCTCTGCTTCTTCATCTGGGATAATGATTCCTAACACGGAGGCTGCTCTGACTACTAAATGAAATAATTCCTCCAAATGCCTAGCAGAGAACCTGACACATGGCAGACACTACACAAGGAAATGATATTGTTCCCTCACTATAGAGAAACTCCAGGGACATCAGTTCCTATTGGTTTCAGCACTGTTAATGTGATTAGAGTCCTTGAATCCATCCACTCAACACTTCACCTTTCTCAAACCTACTTTCAAGGGGGAGACTGTCTGTGTTTGCCTTTCTCTTCCATGGTATCTTCTCTGCAAATGTCACTTCTCCACTTTCTTAGCCAAGACATCTCCTATGTTGGCACCAGTCCCTGGAAGTTAAGAAATTCTTCTACCTTCTTTTAATCAACCACCCTTATTCCCTATCAGAACCTATTCCAGATTCCACTATCTTTACCCTTCTCTGAGTCAAAACTCTTAAATCGAATATGCCACTCCCTACAAAGTTTTAATTTATAGAATAGAGCTATCACTACCCTACTTCTTATTTTTATGATCAATTTATGGGGATTTTCATATGCAACCATCTCCAGCTTGTCAGAGAACTATGTTGTTTCAGAGAAAAGAAGGTCTAAGAGTGGAAGGCACAAAGTTGTCAAAAAATGGAACTTGGCATCTCAGAAGAGAATAACTCTGCTTCACTTAAAGTATAAAGCCACCAGACATAGTGGTGTGTGTCTGTGGTCCCAGATACTCAGGAGACTGAGGCAGGTGGACAGCGTGAGCCCAGGATTTCAAGACCAGCCAGGACCACAAAGCAAGACCCTATCTAAAAAACAGAAAACAAAAAACCTCTATCCTAAATCCATCAAATGTCTCTTCATTAGAGAAATACTTCATTTATTGTGGGAAAGATTACATGTCATCACTGGCCATGCTAAGATTTGGTAATTCAATGAACTTTATACCACTCAGAAAGCAAATGGTTCATTCCTTTAAGAAATTTAAATTCTTTAGGGAAATGCTAAGAAAATACAATCTAAAATAATTTACAAAACCCAAAGAAAAGAAATTAGACAATAGAAAATATGTAGAAAGTTAATTGGAATGGTCTTAAGAATTGAATTGCCATAGAAAAGAAATGTATTTTTATTGAGCTTTATGCTAAGTAATTCATATACTCTGCATACAAGCAATATGGTAACATATGCAATGCTTTTAGCAAAGAGAATGTACATAGTGAATGCTTAGTAGGGGCTGACTCTTATTATCTACTTCAATTTCAGAAGCATTTCTGTTTTGCAGATAAAGAAAATTGGGCTTGAATATTTGGGCAGCCAGGCAAACTTCACAAAAAGACAATGTGACAAAATCAGGATTTCAAATGAATCTGTCAGTTGTTAAATCCCATCCCTTTTTCTTGCTGTGCTACATGACTTGCTATTGAAACTAGGAGCGCTTTTCTTTAAGAGAACGCCTCATTGTTTATTCACGACCTATCTGAGTAGAGACAAACACAATTTCATTACAGGTAGAGGAAACTTGAGTTCTGCTTCAAGTTATACTTAAGCTCATAATAATTTTAGGGTGCATCAGATTCATTCACTCATTTAACAAATATTTAATAGGCATCCAACTCTGTGTCAAGAACTATTCTAGGCACTAAAGGTACTATGGAGAAGAAAGTAGACACTTATCCAAAACACAAATATATGGAGTGAGCTGAAATATCTATTTCTGCTCAAAACCTTTGACTCAGAATAACAGCTCTATTCCTGGTCAAATAATTGTACTCATTTTTCTTGAGCATAAACTCTGTATGAGACTTCATAGGTATTGTGATACAATGATAAAATCTTTGGCTTCATTTATTAAAGTATATACATAATCATAACAGAAAATTATAAAATATATGACATAAAGACACAATTACCCACAATTGCAGCATCTTAAGACAAAAAGAAATTTAGTATGTTTGAATGTTTTCCAAATTAATTAAACTCCCCACACACATATTTAAAATTTATCAGTAACTCTACATACATATTGTTTTATGATTTATTTTTAGGCATAATTTAATATGCATAAAGCATAAGATCAAAGACATTTACAGTACCCCAAAAGGCTTCCTTTTGACCCTTCCAGTCAAAACCCCTTCCAGAGATAAACCACTAAACTGATATCTATCACCATATATAGATTTTACTTGTTCTTGAACTTCATAAAATTGAATTATATAGGATGTACTTATTCTTGACTGACTTCTTCTGTATAACATTTTGTTACATCTTACTTTTAATCTAGCATTACTTAATAAATGGTTTCTTCATCAAATTTCATTCAATAGAGATTCATGTGTTATGAATCAGGTGACAGGTACTGGCTTAGAGACTGTTTGTTCAGGGATATTCGCTATCCCCATTATGATTAAATAACATAGCAAGACTCCGGCAAATAAAATAAAAAGAACATTTTAAAAAGCTCATATCATGTCATTATAAAGACAAAATAAGTCATTGGTTTAAAGGGTTTGATTCAACAAAGCCATTTTAATGGTGGTGGTGGTTGTAATCATTATTATTTTAATATATTGAGAGAGAAAGGAAATTGTGGTATAACTATGAAAATGCTTAAACAATCAAAGTGTTAGTAAAATAAGTCAAATCTATGTCAAGCCTATGTGCTAAAACTTCATTCATAGGTGAAAAGCCGTGGTATGTTTAATTTCATCACTCCAGATACTGAATTCAGTTGACCATTTGTGTAAGAATTTCCTGTTTTTAAAATTATGTATTGTTTATATGGTAACATCTATAAGATTTTATCAGATTCATTAGTTTTTTTTCTTCTTCTTCTTCTTTTAAAAGCATGTGGCTGGGCAGAAATGACTGCAACAGCTATATTGTGGAATTTGGTTATGACTTCAGTTTGTTCTGAAACCTTTTGTAAGAAATCAGCTGTCAAAGGAGACCCACAGATAATATAAAAGTGTGATTTTTTTTCTATTTGTCTAGTAAGCCCCAAGAATACAAGGAGGAAGAAGCTTAAAAGTTATTATGAAAAAGTTATTATGATAAACCTGCCCCTTTCATTTAGTTCAGTAACTGCACTTGGACAGATAACCTCTTCTACCTGAAAAGTGCTAGGTAGTTTGAACCTTCTCATTTTCACCAAGGAACTGTTATGGTTTTCATCCCAAAGTTAATCAGTAGCCAAAATTATGTTTGAACAGTTTTTCTGGCCTTATTTGTTTTTGCTTTCCGCCTCCAAAATGAATGTATTCTAGTTGTGAAAATAACCCTTCACTGAAATCAATGGTGATCAGCCCCATTTAATCATTTCCCAGGAGACATTTGCCACCTCTTTTTGTTTCTGCTGCTCCCAATTCAGAAATAAAAACACCCAGTATTCCCTCCTCCTACTTCTTTAGTAACTAAAACGTGGTCACATGACCTAGCTTCTCTGTGGCAAATCAGTGTTTTTGCTCAGGACTTGGAATCTTCAATGAGTAATGAGAAAGGTGTAGACACTTCACAGTTTATTTTGAAATGGAGGCAGCAGCATCCCTTTCTTGGGAGGAAAGGCAGAGCTAGAAGCAGGGATGGGATCTGTATTTCCTCCGGCCAGCCTCCTCTGGTTCACTCGCCTCCCTGTGCATTTGCTGATATCCTTCTATTAACGTCTTCTTTTTGAGTTAACTGATTGTTTCTCATTGTTCACAAACAAAAACTTAATACGAATATTTCAGCTTTAAAAGAAGAGGCAAAATAGCAGTATATGCTGCCAAATCTTTCTACTCGGGAGGATATGCATTTTCAATGTTTTGCTGGAATACAAATGATTAAGACACAGTTCTTGTCCTGACTTCTAGAATTTTTTTTTACCCAAACAATTTGTATTACACACACACACACAGGCTGAGTTTAATTTACCCATTATTTCTTGATGTTAACACAATATTGGCCAAATTTCAAATGTACATGGTACAATGTGAAATGACATATGTAAGTGCATGACAATGATTGCTCTTCATTTAAAAGATGAAAGAATATTTTTATGCAAATATTACATGATAGAAATTTATTCTGTTACACAGTTAAAGATGAAAGAATATAAACATTTTGTAAAAATCCAAGTATATTACTACTTGATTGTAGACACTAGCTACCTAAATTTTGATATTATAATAAAAACATGATTAACATCAGCGATGGAGTTATAAACATAAAACTTTTCTGTAAATTTTTCTTTCATAATAAAAACAAGTAGTGATTCTAAAGCAGTACTGTTAAACATCAATACTTATTTAAATCCAGCCAGTGTGTATATCTATATATGTATACAAAACTCATACCTTTTGATCAAATAAAAAACATAATTGAATATTTGAATAAAGATGACTTGATGTGGACAAATGCAGTTCCTCTAGGAACTAACTATAACCCAATTTAACATTTATAAAACCCCACTTTGTTATGATAAGCCCTAGGTGTGCATGGGAAGAAATCCCCACAGCATCTGTCAAGTGGGTGCTTCTGCCCAGGACTGAAATAGTCAGTGAGTGATACAAAGATACAGAGACCGTGCAAATCCATAGTAAATGTTAGAACCATGTGTTATGACATGACACAAAACAAAGATTCCTTGAGGCCCAGCTCTGCCCACTTTGATACATCACACACATCTGTCTGGTGTTGCAATTACAATCTTGAGTAGGTTATCCCGTAACCCCTCTGATCTCAGTTTTTTCATTAGTAACATGGAAATACATTACTATTTCTAATTTATATGCTGTTCGTAAGGATTAAATGAGGTGTCTGACACAGAGTGTTTAACCCAGTGTTTATCATATAGGAGATGCTTTGGAACTGCTGGATGTTATTAGTATTAGTGTCACTCATTTCTTTGTTGTTATCCATTCTTTTGTCAGTTACTAATCTTAATTTTTCTTACTCTGCAATTTATTATTACAAGAAAATAGTCAGATTTTAGAGAAGCTGAAAGATAGTGAATATCTAAAAGAGAGATAGCCCACAATTTTGTTTAAATAAATGGTGTTACAGCTAATTGCAGGAGTTCAAATTTATCAAAGCCCAATGGTCATCACTAAATGTGCCAATATACACAAGGGAGATTCATGAAATAAACTAGAGTTTTCAATAGTTAACACAATCCAGATTGATGAATGTGTTAACAATGATTGTTTCTACCAGATGACATCAGTTCTAAGTGAAAACTAAATGAACAGTAGCAATTCAGAATCAACATTTTGGTTCAGATATGATCATATTCTGCAAATATTTTCTCTTGGGTAGCATGGCCTCCGTGAATGACTTAAAATGCGGTATTTTTCATGAAGAAGAATTGCCGACAAGGTAATAGGTATTAACATAGAATAAGGTCAAACTTCAATTCTTTTTTTTTAGTTAAATTATATGCAAAAAGAAAATTGGAGTTTCGGACAAGTCGGAAAAAGGAGCATTGGTCCTGTTGGATATCGGCATTGTGTATTCAACCCCTTCTAAATTCCAGTGATCAAGCGGAGTTTGCTATCTCCTTAAACATTTCTGGAAGGACTTTAAAATAAATAGAACATGATGGCCCTACCAAGGGGGTAAAAGGCACTTGGTAGATAATTAACCCTAAAAGGCAAAAATCAATTTGGCAAAAAGATGTTAGAAGCATCATCACTTTTTGTTTGGATGACTATTTTTCTTTCAGTTCACTCCAAACACTCCTTTTTTTTAATAAAGCTGAAAATATTTTTGTTTGGAGCCAAAGCTCCAAATATCAAACCTATGTATGAGACGTTACAAATCCTTCATTCTTATAGAATAGCTGAACATACATATACACACACATCAAGGGATATTTTTAGTGATAAAGTGGACTAAGAAATAAGTGATAGATATTTAAAAAGGTTGACTCTAAGCCTAAAATTATTTTTCTCACTGTTATAAATGAAGACACTGATGATAAGAGAGGTTAAATAAACAACTCTCCCAAGATCTGGCTGCTACTAAATGTCAATGAGAGGATTTGAACTGATTTTGGCCTGATTTAAGAAGTGTGACTCATTATCCTATACACCCGTCAATATGTATAGATGTGTATCTGCTTGAATATTCTCTTAAAAATATTGCAACATTAATTAAGACAACATTAAGTCAGTTGATAGAATCTCAAGAAATAATATCTACTTAATTATAATTTAAAAATTTCTCTTTTTATGTTAAGCTACCTATAGATAGTTTCTTAATATGTTCCCCTATGCATTGAGGATTCAGGCTTATTTTAAATTCAGTGCTTCTTAATCTATCCTATAACCTGGGAAAAATGAATTGCTAGTGAATTTTAAATTAGTTCTTCAATACTAGTTAAATGAATCCCTCATTTTTTAAAGATAGACTAATATTCAGAATTGCAGATGATCTGTATTCTGTTATTAATGTGAGGGACCTAATCACACTACAGAAAAAAGTGTATCAGTGAGTATCCTTGGGAAATCAGAAAGAAATTGAGCTTGTTCATTGCTGTCAGCCTGACCTTCAAGATATGACAAGATGCCAAAGGGGGGAAAATTACTTAAGATTTTCAGAAACTCAGAGACATAAGGAGAGTATTTTGAAAAAGAAAAAAAAATTCCCCTCCTTTCCCAATTCACAATTAGGGTTGTATAATGCTTAAGTTCTGTGTTATTTCATGTGCAGACAGTGATGGTTGAAAACCATATACCTACTCAAAAATCACAGACCAAACATATTTATGCATATGTATATATAATACATATATATATATATGTAGTCTCATCTCTAAATTTATCCTTCTATCCTTGTAAGTAAACCATCAGACTAGAATTCCAAAAAAAGACAGAATAGACATGTTCCACTGCTTCTTGTTAAACTGAATGCATACGTGTATATAGCAGGATCTAGGGTGTTGCATTTTGTTTCTTTAGTCTACACATTATATTCTTCTTAAAACTCAATGGTGAGGTAGTTTCTTGCCCAGGGAGTGCCTGGGGTAAGGTGTGAGAGCAAACAAACACATACAGCTCCTCCTGTACTGTGCTCACCACTGTTCATTTGATTCTCATAATAACCCAAAGAGGTACCTACTATCATTGCTTCTATTTTATAAATCAGGAAACTGAGGCAAAGAGCAGTTTACTGACTTAAACACAATGACACAGCTGTAAATAATGGAGCCAGGATTTTAACCCAGGGGATCTGGCTTCAAAGTCTACTTCCCTTCCCTATACTATGCTACTATGCTATATAGCATTCCTCAGAAGATATTCTTTTCTCTGCTTCATCATGATGCTACAAGAGTTTAAAGGCATCCACAAAAAATTGCTCAGTGAAATGTCATTAAGAAGAACTCAATTTTATACAGATCAATTTGAATTGAATCCTGTTTTACCATTGGCTAGCTCTGTGGTAGTTATCACTTTAATCTTCAGAGTTCTTATTGTAAAATGTTAACACTAATATCAACCATAGGCTTGAACTGAATATTAAACATAAAATATGTGAACCACCTATAAAAGGACCTGAAACATACAGCGTACTTTAAAACTATAATTATTTTCCATGAATATTGGTTTTGCCGACTCTTATAGTGCATAAAACAACCTATTTACATTCTTCCAAGAGAACTATATATGTCATGAATCACGGATCATATTAGTTGTGAGAAATAAAGCAGTCATCTTCCTTTAGTTTATTCTGTAGCTTACAGGAAGAAACTGGCATGGACAGGAAGGAGATGAGACAACATTCCGTCTGCCTTACATACCATGAGCTCTAAAATAGAGCCATCATCAAAGAGCAGAGTGTATAGGGTAGGCTGTGAAGCATTTGGAAGAAATATTTTTGAGTTCTATTCTAGGAGGAAATAATGTGGAATTCATTCTTTGTACTGAGAAAAGGCTATACGAATCTGGAAAAAATATTTTAAGAGAATCATGAAACCCATGAACATTTTCAGAACATTTTGGCAGATATTCCAATCCCTTTCCAAATGGTAGCTCATGCATTATAGGAGAGAAAGAATGGGTCACTTGAGTGTTCACTTATGTGGATGTGTGCAAATGTCATTGCAAGAACAGACTCTCCAAGCTTTTATTGCACTCTTCCCTTGGCACAGATAAATATCCTAATGTGTCTTATTCATTGCATGTGAACTTTTGAGGCACTATAGGGCAATGGGACAAGCATGGAGCTTAACTCATCCTCATACCCATTAGTTAATCATGTGACTTTGTTCATTCTCTCGAAACTTAAATTTTTATCTTTGCCATAGGCAAAGGCATAATAAGGCACTTATTTTAGGGAGTGCAGAACTGGACAGCAGCATGCAGGGACCTCTAGTAGTGGATCCCTAGCAGTCAAGAAAACAAAATTATTTAGACATTACTGAGCAGCTCTGATGTGCAAAGCACTATGCTGTACAGAGGAAATAGGAAAATTAGATAAGCCCCTGCCAAAAAGTTACTCACAATTTGAATGAATGGAAGAGTTTGAATAGGGTTTGGAAGGACTAAGTAGGATTAAAAAAGAAATCAGATGAGCTAGCTTATTAAAAATCAGTACAGGGTTAAGAGTTTCACAAGCATTTCTTGAGGTCTTTGGTAATTCCCGAAGAGGGATCCAGCCTGCTAGAGATACACAATGAGTTCTGAGAGGGAAAATTCAGGAGGGAGGTGAAAGAACTCGGATCATTGGTGGGCTTCATAAAAGAGTTTAAACTTGAAACATATATGCCTTCATGCTAAATCATGCATGTTCTCTGGCTATTCTGCACACATATTTTTACATACCTACCTCTTTTCCACTTTCCAGGCAGATCCAAGTTTTGCAGGTGACAAAACAAAACAAAACTATAACACATTTCTTGATATGATCAGGCTCTTTTTCCTTCCAAAAGCCATTAACTAAACTATAACGCAAATAAATTGCTTCTGGGGCACCTGGAGTTTTCCTAAGATTTGTCTGTCTTCTGAGAAAATACTAAGAGCTGATTCATCCTAATAAGGTGTGAATCAAGTGTTAAACTGTAACTGAATTGTACAATTAATTTTACTTTTCCCTGTTTTCTCCATTTCTTCCATGGAGTTATAGAAGCTTATAACAGGATTCCTACTATTATTTAAAATGTTTTTCTGAGAAATACTACCCCGTCCGATATTCACAAATTATTTCAGATTTCTTAACCTTTCCTTCTTCTTTTTTCTTTATTTTATATGGTGGACATGATCCTGAGGTTGATTTTCACTTGTGGTTGGCCCTTTCTATTACTTGAGCAAGATATGCCAATATGAAAATAAGATATAGACTTACTTTCTCAAGGTACTATCTAGGTATAGAAATAGAGACTTAGGCAGAGAGATAGATAGATATAATACATGCACACAAAGAAACATTGATAGTGATATGGTTTGGAACTGTCCCAACCCACATCTCCTACTGAAATGTAACCCCCAATGTTGGAGATGGGGCCTGGTGGGAGGTGACTCATCATGAGGGCAGATTGCTCATGAATAGTTTAGCACCATCCCCCTTGGTACTGTTATCACAATAGTGAGTTCTCATGAGATTTGGTCATTTAAAAGTGTGTAGCACCTCACTCTTGATCTCTTGCTTCTCCTCCGGCCGTGTGATGTGCCTGCTCCTGCTTCGCCTTCCCCATGATTGTAATTTTCTGGAGACCTCCCCAGAAACCAAGCAGATGCCAGCATCACGCTTCCTGTACAGCCTGCAGTACCGTGAGCCAAGTAAACCTCTTTTCTTTATAAATTACCCAGTCTCAGGTATTTCTTTATAGTAATGAGAGAATGAACTAATACAAATAGATAAAAATATATCATGTGTATTTAGATAACAGATAATTAGACAGGTAGAACATTTGGGCTAAGATCTATCTCTGTATCATGGCTCTGGACACTTTAAGTATTCATTGCAACTCAGTCCCACATTTGTAAATAAAAGTACCCATCTGATACAGTTATCAGGAGGATTACACAAGTAATACATGCAAGTTGCCTGGGCGATGGATAAGCACTTGACTGGTATTTGAGAAACACTTATGAATCCTTCTTGTTTAGTTCTTGAAATCAACATTATAAGAGACAAACAGAGAGCCAAATCATGAGTGAACTCGCATTCACAATTGCTTCAAAGAGAATAAAATACCTAGGAATCCAACTTACAAGGGATGTGAAGGACCTCTTCAAGGAGAACTACAAACCACTGCTAAATGAAATTAAAGAGGATACAAACAAACGGAAGAACATTCCATGCTCATGGGTAGGAAGAATCAATATCGTGAAAATGGCCACACTACCCAAGGTAATTTATAGATTCAATGCCATCCCCATCAAGCTACCAATGACTTTCTTCACAGAATTGGAAAAAACTACTTTAAAGTTCATATGGAACCAAAAAAGAGCCCACATTGCCAAGTCAATCCTAAGCCAAAAGAACAAAGCTGGAGGCATCACGCTACCTGACTTCAAACTATACTACAAGGCTACAGTAACCAAAACAGCATGGTACTGGTACCAAAACAGAGATATAGATCAATGGAACAGAACAGAGCCCTCAGAAATAACGCCGCATATCTACAACCATCTGATCTTTGACAAACCTGACAAAAACAAGAAATGAGGAAACAACTCCCTATTTGATAAATGGTGCTGGGAAAACTGGCTAGCCATATGTAGAAAGCTGAAACTGGATCTCTTCCTTACACCTTATACAAAAATTAATTCAAGATGGATTAAAGACTTAAACGTTAGACCTGAAACCATAAAAACCCTAGAAGAAAACCTAGGCATTACCATTCAGGACATAGGCATGGGCAAGGACTTCATGTCTAAAACACCAAAAGCAATGGCAACAAAAGCCAAAATTGACAAATGGAATCTAATTAAACTCAAGAGCTTCTGCACAGCAAAAGAAACTACCATCAGAGTGAACAGGCAACCTACAAAATGGGAGAAAATTTTCGCAACCTACTTATCTGACAAAGGGCTAATATCCAGAATCTACAATGAACTCAAACAAATTTACAAGAAAAAAACAAACAACCCCATCAAAAAGTGGGCAAAGGCCATGAACAGACACTTCTCAAAAGAAGACATTTATGCAGCCAAAAAACACATGAAAAAATGCTCACCCTCACTGGCCATCAGAGAAATGCAAATCAAAACCACAATGAGATACCATCTCACACCCGTTAGAACGGCAATCATTAAAAAGTCAGGAAACAACAGGTGCTGGAGAGGATGTGGAGAAATAGGAACACTTTTACACTGTTGGTGGGACTATAAACTAGTTCAACCATTGTGGAAGTCAGTGTGGCGATTCCTCAGGGATCTAGAACTAGAAATACCATTTGACCCAGCCATCCCATTACTGGATATATACCCAAAGGACTATAAATCATGCTGCTATAAAGACACATGCACACGTATGTTTATTGCGGCACTATTCACAATAGCAAAGACTTGGAACAAACACAAATGTCCAACAACGATAGATTGGATTAAGAAAATGTGGCACATATACACCATGTAATACTATGCAGCCATAAAAAATGATGAGTTCATGTCCTTTGTAGGGACATGGATGAAATTGGAAATCATCATTCTCAGTAAACTATCGCAAGGACAAAAAACCAAACACCGCATGTTCTCACTCATAGGTGGGAACTGAACAATGAGAACACATGGACACAGGAAGGGGAACATCACACTCTGGGGACTGTTGTAGGGTGGGGGAAGGGGGGAGGGATAGCATTAGGAGATATACCTAATGCTAAATGACGAGTTAATGGGTGCAGGACACCAGCATGGCACATGTATACATATGTAACTAATCTGCACATTGTGCACATGTACCCTAAAACTTAAAGTATAATAATAATAAAAATAAATAAATAAATTTCAGAAGTTATTCCTAAAAAAAAAAAGAAATCAACATTATAACTGAGTGTTTGTATAAAGAATACATTTGAAAACATAAGTAAGTATTTAGAAATGCCTTTTATCCCAGAAGTTTATGTTTCTTAATTTCATTAATTATCTGGAATCATTATTTGCCTTTGGCATAGCCTTCATTAATTGTCCTAGCATCTTTAGATCCCAGATTCCAGGTCCTACTACCCAGTTCTCAAATTCTGGGATCCTTCTAAACAATTTCAGATTCACTTACAGACACTGGTAAAGATCCAGTACCTGCATGACCTAGACAGAGAATATGTAAACAGATGTTAAATGACATGTTAAATGACAGAGTAATGTTATATGTATATATTGACATATTTATATATAAAGTTAACATTTCAGTCCTTAGGTGTAGCACATCCTATTGACTAACACTACTAATAGAATCATCAGAAAACATTAATATTTTTAGTAAACAAAACATATATTCATATATACAGCTTCACATGATTTACCTAAAAACACTGGAGAAAAGCTTGTATCAGCATAATTTTATAGATGAAAAAACTGAGGATACAAAACCAGATCACAAAGCCATTTAATGACATACTCAAAACTCAGATCCAAGCCTTTAGACTCCAAATCCCTTGGAAAATCTCTAAACTCCATCAGGTTAACTTTCATAAACTTTTAACTATCAAGCTTCCTTTAGAAAATAACGAGCTACAATTATTTTCTTTCTTCCCTTCTTTTTTTTTACCCCCCCAAACCGGTAAGAAATGTTGAGGTCCAAAGAGCAAAAGTTCTTGTTTATATTATATAAAACTAATAAAACATAGAATATGTTTTTTCCTGGTAATATTTACATTTTATATAAGAGGTTGGCCTCAAACTCTTTGTAAGAAATGTTTACATAATTAACCTAGACATGTAATAGGCTGTACTGTCTAGGTCTGTGTATGTACACTCTGTCAATGCATGACAAAATCGCTTAAGGATGCATTTATCAGAAAGTATCCCATCATTAAAAGACCATGACTGTATTAGATAGATAGACAGATTATCTCTCTATATGAAGATGTAGATACCTATATCCACCTATATCTACATATAAATACGTAGATACCTATATATATAGAGAGAGAGAAATCTATATCTCTTTATCTATAGATATCTATCTATCAACAGATAAGTGATAGGTAGAGATAGATAGATAAATAGATAGACAGATAGATGTGACATATAGATAGATATCTAGAGATAAATAGATTGTTATCACCTTTTCATTATCCATTTATTCATATATGGACTTTGGGGTTATTTCATATATCAGCATTTATGAATAATGCTAGAATAAACTTCAGACTATAAGTATATCTCTTTGAAATCTTGTTTTCAATTCATTTAACACTGTATGATTTCAATTATCTGAGGCATCTGAAGTACTCAAACTCTTAGTAGCAGAAGGTAGGATGGTGATTGCCGGGGGCTGCGGGGAGAGGGAAATAAGGAGTTCGCTGGCTATAGAGTTTCAGTTATGCAAGATGAAAACTGTCTGGAGTTATGTTATATACAATGCACATAGTTAACAATACTGTACTCTACACTTACATGTTTATTAAGTAGGTTTTTTTTTTAAATAAAAAGAAACTCTATCAGTTCACTTAGTTATTGGAAAAGCTTTCTCTTAGGCTAAAGCTGTGGTTTGTTCGAGTAATATGATTTAGAGGAGATAGAGGAGGTTGTTTATGTATCATGTAATTTATGTATTTTCAAAAATTAAATTGTATCTTTAATCCTTAAATATGAAACAACATTTCTATCTCCTTCAACATCTGTACATTGTACACCCAGCTTTGTCTTTCTCATCTTGTATTGTAGAGGTCACAGATCATATGCCTTTTATGACCATAAGGGCCACAAGCCTCCTTTCCAATGGGAATTGTCAGTCCAATCATTCTGGAGTAATTTTAGGCAGACTCTGAACAAGTTGAATAATCATTTTTCTGTTCTCTTCTTCAGCTTGTCTTTCTAGGCATATGTTAAATAAGTTTTCAATTATTGCCAGAAATCCTAAGGAAGTGAAACTTACTTGTTATCTTAATGGTGGTTGAAGGAGTTTTAATGTCATCTGCTGGAACAACAGCTGAATGTGGAATGTTATATAACAGTCCCAGCATAACATTTATTGGGTAACAAAGTCAGATGTAGGCTGGATATGATAAAAATAAGTGAACTCATGTTGTATCCTCATGTTCAATTTCATCTTTGGTTTGGATCTAGCCGAATCACTTTTATTTTCATTTGAGTTGTCATTGCTTGCAAATCCTTTACCTGTATTTACAATGTTTCTATTATGAGATATATGCCAAATTTACTCTGAAATTATTTACTCAGTATTATAGTGAGTAAATGTATTATAAATATTTAAATATTTATAATATTTAATATTATATTTATAGTATTAAATATTATAAATATTTATATTTAATATTATAAATATTTACAAGTATATACACAGAAGTTACGAATATAAGTCAAAAGTATTCTACATACAGTAACCTAAAAGTCAGACGGTCTCTAATACTAGCTTTCTATGTTTATAAATTCAGATCACTAGGTTTTGATTTACTATTGTTAAATGCAGGGTGCTTGTGTAAACTATTTTGAAGGCCTGTACAACAACTAAATTTTTCTAATTTAGATTTCTAATAATACAATAATACTATTTTTCTAATAATAAATTGATTTGTTTTCCACATTATAATCCCTGCAGCACCCTTGAAAGAAAGGTAGCATTACAATATTCCAGATCAAAAAGGTAACACGCTTCTCAAGAAATCATCAGCTGATAAACTATATATGGAGGAAACCCAGTCAGGGCTGTCTGTCTTCAATACCTAATTCTCTCTATGACACCAAATATCCACTCACAACATGTACCAAGGTTTGGAAAATTCCCTGCTTTTGTTTCTAACCTATCCTATCATAGAATAAAAATATTTCACAGATACTAGGAGAACATGACACATTTATTTCAATATAAAACTCAAAGTTAAAAATTGGAATCCACAAGTGACAAGTTTTAGGCAAGATCCTCTCAGAAATTTCTCCTAACATTCTTGGAGGCAAACTTCTATTCCTAGTTAAATCCTGACCATCAGCATGGGGGTTATTTTCAGTTTTTCTCATTTTAAAAATCCCTTTCCAGCTAGAAATCCAGCCTTGAAAGGGCCCTACTAATGATCTGAGTCAGATGACTCAGCAGAGAGCAAATATTATTCTATTCCCCAGCACTCTGTTACCTTTCACTCCCTCACTTTTCTTGCTGCAGTGAAAAATGATTCATATAAAGCAAACCAAAATAGTAAAAACAGAAAGAAACTATGAGAAAGACTGCTTAACAATTTCCAATCGCGGCTGGGGCTTGGAGAAATTGAAAAGAGGCCCGGGATGCTTACTTTTCAGCCATGCCTAGAATATGTTTTAGTTTCAGTATCAAGAGAATCATTTCCATGAAGGAGAGCTAAAGGAGACTGCAAAATCATATGTCTTTTCCTTGATCAGGAGCAGGAGCATTGTGAAGGGATCAGGCAGTCCCTGAAGAAGCACCTGAAAGAAACTGATTAGAAGAAACATGAAATACATGGGCTTCCTCCTAACCCACCTCCTTGCTGCCTCCACCCTCAGCTCCAGGGTCAACCCAAAAAGGCGTCTGAGTTTTATGAGAGATGTATTCAGTAACAAAAGAACAAGACTGAGCCTTGATTATTCAGGAAAATGTAACTTAGAGAAGGTTAAACTTACCATTTTTGGAAGCGGGCGTTCCTTCCAGAATACACATGAAAGGCCTGGGGACTTCTCTGTTTTTGTGATACTAACAGAGAAAGAACTTTGCTTTTACTAAGTCAGATTCTCATTATTATTCTTTTCTTTCCACTCTTTTTCATGATCTCAGGGTTAAGTTGAAAAAAAGCAGAAAAAGAAAACACAAAGTATTTTTTACTCAGCATCATGGGGATTCCTTTTGTGTGTTTGAATCGTTGTACTGAAAAAAAATGTCAACTCCACTACTTAGAGTCATAAAAAGCTGTCTATGCCTTTCCAAGTCACACCACCACCTCCTTAACCACCCGAAGCCTTTGGTGAAACCATAAGTGTATATCGATTTGTTAAATTCAGTTCTTGCCAGAGCTGTATCAAATATAAAATGATCTTCCTTTAAAAACAGTTCCCCCTCAAAGATCAAGCTCTCAGATTCACTGAGTTATGCATGGTTTAGAACAAATAAATTATCTCTGATAGCACTTAAAAGTGCGTTGCTAAAGAACCCTGGAGTAAAATGTTAATGTGTGCAAAGGAACAGAGTGAATTAGGAACATTTACCAAAATTACTTACTGTAACCTGTACGTTCCAAATTTTTGCCAAGATCCTATAACCATGTTGTTCTTACTACTGGGGAAGTTGTATCCTTCAACTTGGTTCCAAGTTGAAGAATGCTGGAGGGCCAAGTTAGATGTCGAAATATTCCTCTCTGGCACATCAATAAGGGACATGATTTATAGAGAATTTAACGAGAAACATTCACAAGAAAGATCTTGGGAAAAGAATTTTTAAACTATTACCTATGAGAAGTGTAAGCATGAGATGGTAATGATGAAAAAAATTGAAAATTATATTAAATATCTGAGGAGTCTGGCTAAACACACTGTGGTACAATCACATAATAGAATGCTACCCAGTGCTAAAAAGAAAGAAACTGCAGGTAATGGGACAACTTGGATGGATTTCAAGGACATCACACTAAGTGAAAAATGTCAATCTTTGAAAGTTAAGTGCTAGATGATTCCATTTATACATTTTCTAAACAACAAAACTATAGCAATGGGAGGACAGCTCAATGGTTGCCTGTGGTTAGTGCAGAGGAAGAGGGTGTGGCTATAAAAGTAGGTCCATTGAGTGGCAGAACATTTCAGTATCTGACTTGTATAAACCTATGCAGGTGAGAAAATCTCACATAACTATACACAAAATTACAAAAATTAACACACAAAAAAAAACAGTGCATGCAAAACCTGATGAAATCCAAGTAGATTCTAGTTAATTGTATTGTGCCAATATCAATTTCCTTGTTTTGAAGATGTCCAATAGTTATTTAAATGTTTCCATTAGGGAAAGCTGAATGAAGGTCAAAGGGGAACTTTCTGTACTATCTTTGCAATTTTCAGTGACTCTATAATTGTTTCCAAATGTAATTTTAAAAAAATCTTGGGATACATTTCTGAGAGCCTGTACTTAACAATGCATCCATTCCTTTAAAAGCATTTTTTTTTTGCTAACCACCTATTTTTATGTGAAGATTTTAGATACACAGAGATAAGGCATGATGAGAACACAATGTAATCACAAGATACTAAGTGGGACCAATGGACAGACAAACCCAAAGTTAAATTATACAGTGAAGTGCAACCCAGGGTACAAAGTTCTTTGTGAGTACAGTGGAAGTTGTGAACATTCTCTTTCAGAGAAATGCAAATCAAAACCACAATGAGATACCATCTCACACCCGTTAGAATGGCGATCATTAAAAAGTCAGGAAACAACAGGTGCTGGAGAGGATGTGGAGAAATAGGAACACTTTTACACTGTTGGTGGGACTGTAAACTAGTTCAACCATTGTGGAAGACAGTGTGGCGATTCCTCAAGGATCTAGAACTAGAAATACCATTTGACCCAGCCATCCCATGACTGGGTATATACCCAAAGGATTATAAATCATGCGGCTATAAAGATACATGCACACGTATGTTTATTGCGGCACTATTCACAATAGCAAAGACTTGGAACCAACACAAATATCCATCAGTGATTGACTGGACTAAGAAAATGTGGCACATATACACCATGGAATACTACGCAGCCATAAAAAAGGATAAGTTCATGTCCTTTGCAGGGACATGGATGAAGATGGAAACCATCATTTTCAGCAAACTATCACAAGGACAAAAAGCCAAACACCGCATGTTCTCACTCATAGGTGGGGATTGAACAATGAGAACACCTGGACACAGGAAGGGGAACATCACACACCTGGGCCTGTTGTGGGGTGGGGGGAGGGGGGAGGGATAGCATTAGGAGATATACCTAATGTAAATGATGAGTTAATGGGTGCAGCACACTAACATGGCACATGTATACATATGTAACAAACCTGCACATTGCGCACATGTACCCTAGAACTTAAAATATAATAAAAAAAATTAAAAAATTCATAGAAGTGTGATGTTTTGTCTGACCTTCAAGACTGAATTGTCAAGTGGACAGTGGTTGTGGCATTCCTTTGAACATGACTGAAGCATTGTATCTTATTGTAGAGATTGTCCCACAGTTTATTTAGGAAAGTGATCAGTAGTTTTTTAGAGACTCAACCATTTGCCTTAAAGCTGCTGTCCCTGAAGAAATAGCCCATAATTCCAAAGCAATTGAAATGATGGAAATGAAACATGTTTTACTGAAAGATTTTTTTCTTTTTCTATAATGTCCTTTTGACAGTTTTCCTAGTTTTCCATCCAGCTAAATACAGCACAATAAACCTCCTTCATCTAAAACGGCAAATGGATGAACGGATGCTGGTGCTGATATGAGGTTTATGTGTATCTTATGATCTTATGACTTTACCCCAGGTTCTCATTAAGAAGATCACAGATACCAAGTAAATATATGGGAGAGGATGACAAAAATGCCCGCTTCATCTGTTCCATGCATACCTGAAGATTGAGATTATATCAGAATGGAACAATGTCACACTCAAACACTGGACAAGAGCTCAGTCAACATCTCCTCCATTTTTTTTTCTGTCTGATGATAGAGTATCTGTAGACAGAGGACTACATAACTTTAACTTAAAAGGAAATAAAGAGGACAATGGAAAGGATGAGTGGGTTTTTTTTGAAACAGGGTCTCAATCTGTCATCCAGGCTGGAGTTCAGTGGCACAATTATAGCACACTGCAGCCTCAACCTCCCAGGCTTATGCTCTCCTGCATCAGCCTCCGGAGTTGCTGGGATTACAGGCATGTGCCACCATGCCAAGCTAATTGTTTTATTTTTTGTAGAGATTGGGTCCCACCATGTTGCCCAGGCTGGTCTCAAACTCCTAGACTCAAGGGATCCTTCCACCTCAGCCTGCCAAAGTGCTGGGATTACAGGCATGAGCCACTGTGCCTGTCCCGTGTGATTCTTTAAAGACTCAGTGCTTCCTGGCGATTTGGCTCTAGTTAGACCAACACTTATTCCCCACTATTCTCAGGCATGGATAAAACAGACACGACAGAAGCAACATATAGTCCACTTAAAAAAAAAAAATCTTTGACAAGGCAAGAGCAAATAAGGAAATTAGAAATGGGTAGAGAGAAACTAAGGTATATTACATGAATTCTTTGTGCCGGACTCTGTGTTTGGCTCCATTTCAAATCCAATCTAGCCCATTACACCAAAGGGTGTAAAACCCATTTCTAATAAGTCTAGTCAGTTTACAATTATCATTACTTTTTAGAAGAAGAAACATATGTCCTCCTTTCAACATTGCTCATCTAGCCATTTTTTTTTTCACAGAGCAGACCAAGTAATTTTAAAAGCAACTTGAGGCTGTGCGCGGTGGCTCACACCTGTTAATCCCAGCACTTTGGTAGGCCGAGACAGGCAAATCACGAGGTCAAGAAATCGAGACCATCCTGGCCAACAAGGTGAAACCCCGTGTCTACTAAAAATACAAAAATTAGCTGGGTGTAGCATTGCGCACCTGTAGTCCCAGTTACTCCGGGGGCTGAGGCAGGAAAATCGCTTGAACCCGGGAGGCAGAAGTTGCGGTAAGCTGAGATCACACCACTGCACACTCCAGCCTGGCGACAGAGTGAGACACAGTCTCAAAAAAAAAAAAAAAAAAAAAAGCCAACTTGAATATAATCCCCGCTTCTTAAAACTGTTCAATAAATTTCAAAAACCCTTGATAAAGTATAAGTTATTCAGTTGGCAAAGTTTTACAAGGTGTGGCTCTGCTTACTCTCAGTGTTTATCCCTTTCTTCTTCAATGTCTCAGATTTTATCTTCTCCTTACATTCAGGTTTAATCTCTTTCTTCTCCTATTATTCCAAATAAACATAGACATTTCACATGCATGAATGTGTATGGTCTCTCAGATCTTCTCATTTACCTTCCCACATGCAGACCCATTCCTCCGAAAAAAAAGCAAGCCCCATTCAAATACTCTTTTGCCTACCACTAAACCCACACTTTTTTGTCCGCAGAATTTATATTCGTCTTCCAGGTCTCACCTCCAAACACAACTCAGAGGCTCTTCTTAATGCTCTCCAGTTCTTTGTGCATCTCTGTCTTAAACTCATCTGTGAGTTTTCTGCACAAGTAGAAAAGTTGTCTTTGCCTATTTTATTTCTAGTGCTTGGAACAATAACTGACCTACAGTAGGTTCCCCAAAGTTATATTTCAATCAAAGATCATCAGTTGGTTCAAGAAGACAAACTCATACTGATATCACACGAACACTAAAGTGTCATAGACAACACATGATTCTGAGTGACAACAGTGGGGAGGTAGCATCAGTGCCCACACATATACACACAAACAGGTATAATAACCAGGTGATATGATTTGACTGTGTCCCCACCCAAATCTCATTTTGAATTCCCATGTGTTGTGGGAGGAACCTGGTGGGAGGTAATTGAGTCATGGGAGCAGGTCTTTCCCATGCCGTTCTCGTGATTGTGAATAAGTCTAATGAGATCTGATTGTCTTAAAAGGGGAATTTCCCTGCACAAGCTCTCTTCTTTTGTCTGCTGCCATGCAAGATGTGCCTTTTACCTTCCACCGTGATTGTGAGGCTTCCCCAGCCATGTGGAACTTTAAGTCCAACAAACCTCTTTCTTTTGTAAATTGCCCAGTCTCAGATATGTCTTTATGAGCAGCATGAAAATGGACGAACACACAAGGGATTTTCATGATTAAGGGCTTGGGAATCACTAACAACTTCCTAAGGCCACATGTCAACAAGTGGAAGTATTTTCCACTTACAAGCCAGGAATATATTCATCTATCAATTTACTTGTTCAACACTTATTCATACCTGCTTTGTGATCATATTAAGTGGCCCAAGGACCAAATATAATAATAATGAAAAACTCGATGAACTCAAGGTACTCAAAATGAAGTGAAAAACACATTATAGTTCTGGGCCAAAAAGACACAGAAAAGAAGATGCTAAGAGCTGAATCACGTATCACCCTCAAGAAACTATTTGCCAATTGTGGTGTGTAGCACATACTCTTTATCTATGCCCAAAAAAATTACATAAAAGGTAATATCAGTATTGCAGAGAATGTCTTCTGTGCAGTTATATTAGTTACATGTTTTTGAAAACTAATTTTCTTCTTTGTTCCTCTAAGTATGAATTATCTGTTTTCTACATTCATTCAATATCTCACCCCAAGATACTCTATGAGGAAGAGGATGGGGAAGATAATGTCAGAAAATGCACATCTAGTCTGACATTGCTGATAATTAACTGGGTGACTTGGGCAAGTTACCCTTTTTTCTTGGTCTTGGCTATTTAATTGATATAAATCTAGACAATCTAGATGAGGATGATTAAAATGCCAGATGTAAACAAACGTAATCTTTATTGCCTAAAGAAAGTGTTTCACAAAGTTGGAAGACTTGCTGTTTTCCACTTGGAATAAAATTTAGAACATCTATGGCCCTTGGTTGACATTTATATTTGTCTTTTCTTTTTAATTCTTAGGACAAAACGCTCTTTATTTTCTCTTTTCTGTTGTGAATGTTTTGGCATCAATGCCTTCGGAATCGTTTGTCACTTGTCCATGGAATTGCATGAATTTCCCAGTAATTCTTCAATTCTACTCCATGGCAATTTGCTGGCCAGATGTTTCCTTCTGACCTTCCTATAATGGGGAATATGGCACAATAATCAAAGAAGAAATTTGTCCCCAGTCCAGAGAACTTTTGCATGCTACTTAATTTCAAACATAAACTTCAAAAAGTTTGGGAGATGCTGGAAAATAATAGCAAAAATCCTGACAGGACTCAGAGAAGACAATCAAGCTTTGTACGTGGAAGCATCTAATTCAAGGTTCTCACGCCCTTTTGTCTAGAGAACACTGGCATGGTTAAGAGAGAGAAAGAAAGTAAGGGGGATGGGGGTGGCAGGGAGAGAATGTTAGCTACATCTGGCTTTGTTATTCGCTATGTAAATTTGTATATTTATTGGGGCCTCAGTTTCCACATTATACCATAAGAATATTGACATTAAACAAAAATTATTAAGTCTATTTTTGTAAGCTTGAATTGTTATGCAAAATAAAATACTTGTTTGGAATATATATATGTATAAATAATTATATGTACATAATAATATATAAAACAAATATGACAAATTTACAATTAAAACAGGGTGGTAGTACCAAAGCCAGAATTACTGAGCATTTCTTTCTCCAAATTTTAAGTCCATACAAAAAACACCTGTGTGAGTATATGTGCACACGTGCATTCTTTTGCATACACACAATCAGGTTTTGTAGTCCATCAAGATTTTTTTGTCTAAAGATTTTTAAATCAATATTTAAAATGATTTCTATTAAAAGGCTTACAAAGGTATAAAAGCAATCACTTAAAATTGTACTTTCAATGTCACTAATGTTACTAGATATTTGCAGATTGCTTTAGAAATAGACAAATTGATATTTCCATTAGCAAAGTATATCCTTGCATTTTAGCCAGTAATTGGAATTATAGTTCTTTTCTTCTTAATTTATGCCACTCTCATAGGTATTTCAAAAGTCACTGTTATTTTAATTTTCATTGACTTCACTACCATAAAGGTAGATAAACTCTCGTATGTCTGTTGAACTGTTGGATTTGTTCTTTGTGCACTGCCTTCAACACATTTAACTCATTTTTCTATTTTATGCAAATTAAAAATGTAGTATATCTTAGGTATGGCAATTACAATTTTTCAAATCTATGGTTTGTGTATTTTCTTTTTATGGTATTATAACTCAAAAGGATTTCTAATTTCTATCTTGTCAAATGGGGCTCAACTTTGAGTTTTTGCATATAAAGAATGGTTATATGAGAAGTTATTAAAACAGCCTACAATGCTCTATATGACCTGATTCCATTTTACCTCTTAATATCCCTCCAGTTCTTGAAGCCACATACTGACTATGCTCTTCTGTGTACACACACACACCTTAGAACCTTTACACCAGCTCCTGACTCTGCTTAGACCTCTGTGTTCTAAGGCATCTGCCTGAATTGCTAGTCAGTTTCTTCAAATTTTGGCTCAAATGCAATATTTTCTTTCTTTCTTTTTAGAGACAGGGTCTCACTTTGTCAGCAAGACTGGAGTGAAGTGGTGTGATCATAGCCCCTTGCTGCCTCAACCTCCTGGGCTCAAACAATCCTTCAGACTCAGCCTCCCAAGTAGCTAGGATGACAAGAGCATGACACCATGCCTAGCTAATTTCTGTGTGTGTGTGTGTGTGAAGATAGGGGTTTCACTGTGTTATCCAGGCTGGTCTTGAACTGCTGACCTGGAGTGATCCTCTTGCCTTAGTATCCCAAAGCACTGGGATTACAGGTGAGAGTCAATGCACTGACCAAATGACACATTTTCAATGAGTCCTATTTTATGGTATTACAAAGAATCATAATCTGGCCTACTCTTTACCCTCTTTGGCCCCAGCATTCACAATCTCTCTTTCCCAGTTTCACTTTAGTTATACTTTTTTCCACAGCCCTTGTTATTTCCTGGCAAAATAGATTGTATAATTATTTATTTTGCTTGCTAGTTATTGTCTCCTATTTATTCAACATGGAGATCCATGTTTCATTTAATTGTAATGCCTCAAGCACCTAGAATTATACCTAACAGGATTCAATAACTATGCATTTAATGAAAGATGTATTCACTTTCTAGTTTTTCACAAGAGAGTTTTGATATCTTTTTTATTACCATTATTTTTACATCTAGGTTTTCTTCTAAATGAGTTATATTTTTCTGCTTAGTGTGAGAGAGTAGTCCCCTTTTATTTACTTTCAAATGGATAAAGGTTGTTCCAGCTTGATTTCATAAACAGGACATGTCTCATTCCACTGAATTAAAGTAACATCTCTACTATACATTAAATTATGATACATATTGTGGTCCAGTTCTGGAAACATTCTAGTTTTTTTTCACCAAATATTTTGTCAATCTCCATATCAATGTCATATCAATTTTATTATGTAGCTTGAGAATATAATCTCTCAATTTAGAACTGCATCCCTTTTGCACTCCCAATTTTCTGCTCCCTTGCTTAAATTTGTACTCAAACATACTTTTCAACTTGTAGTGTCACAGGATCCCTGGGGTGTCACTTCGCCAGCTGGAAACCTCTGTGGCTGGTGGCGCCTTCTGCCTGAGTATTTCTCATACTCAGAGCTGAGCTCATTCTCCCCACTTGGCCTGGCAGGCAGCACTTGACTCACTTTACCAGCCTGGACCCCACACCTGCCAAGGGCAAGCCAGGTGCAGAACAGCAAGGGGTGTGTGAGTAAGTGAGCATGGGATCTGGCCACTGTGCATAGCTGGGCATGCTGACAGTGCAGCAGGGCGGGCAGCTCCAGGCACCGACACAGGTGTGGGCTCTGTGCAAGGCTGCAGCTGGACCACATGTACCACACATGGCTTAAACTGTGGGCACCCATGTCTGGAGAGGAAAAAGCAGTGAAACCCAGAAGCCTGGAGATGCCAGGAACTGCAAGCCCCAAAGAGGATGTCACTACTCTGGCTCAGGGAGACCCTAGGTCTGGGCTTACTGAAAGGTTGCAGTGCTTCTCTCCTTCTTATCACAAGCAACACAGTGAGTGGAGGGCGTGTTTCAGCCCTGTTTATGTTACAGCTCTTTCAGTCCTGCCATTCAGAGGCTCCAGAGTTCTTGTCCTGTATCCAGGAAGAATGAGAGAGGCAGAAAACTGGAGGGTGAGTAAGGTGAAGAGCAGCTTCATTGAGTGACAGAACAGATCTCAGGAGACCCGAAATGGGTAGCTCCTTTCCACAAGCAGGTCATCCCAATGAGTGTCCAACTCTCAGCAGTGTCCAGCTCTCAGCAGAGAGGAGAACTGCAGTGGATAATTCCTTTCCACAACTGGTAGTCCTGACATCTGTACAAGTCTGGCTGAGTCCAGGGTTTTTATGGGCTCAGAATGGAGGAAGTGAGTGCTGATTGGTCCAAGGATAGCCATGGGTGGGCCTGGAAAAAGCACCATAAGTTCTCACTCTGGGCCAAGGACTCCACCTGGAGCTGGCAGCTGAGCCCCCACGCTTCAGGCCATCCTGGCTTGAATGTGGGGTCTCACCTGGGACCTAACCCTTTCTGCTCAGGAGTCTGTCTGCCTCCCATCTTCAACATGCTGTCCACAGCACCCAGGATGTTCATGCTGAGGGGCACCTGCAGGCCCACACTGAGCTGCCCTCAGCCCACCCCTGGCCTCCCTCCTGGACTCCTCAGTGTCCAAAGTCTGGAGGGGGCCAAGGCAACTGGGGGAATAGCGTGTCAGCACTGCCCTGAGTGCACACACTCCCAGCCAGGTCACTACAGTGCTTGGGCTCAGCTCAACTTTCCTCCAAAATCAGAGCAGGTGCCAGCATGAGGGAGAGGCCAGGGAGTGGGAGCAGGCAATTCTGAGCCTGTGGGGACAGAGGGCTTCCTGAGCCCCCAAGAGTGCAGGGATGCCCAGGTCCGAAGCCATGGCTGGGCAGCTGCAGCTGTGCCTGGGAGGGCGGGGCTCCCCCTGACGGTAAGGGGAGAGGCTCCTGCCTGTTCTCAGCTCCCAGGAGCCCCACAAAGTCCAACCCCTGCTGCACCTCCCCCATTGAAGCCAGCATCCTGGCAACAGCTATTCCAGATGGGCCACTGCTGCCATCAGTAGCTACCATACAATTGTATTTATCTCTTGGGTTTACTGATTATATTTTACCTATCCTATCTAGAATTGTACTCAATAAGGTTTCTTTTGTATATTTATTTATACCTATCCACCAACAAGTGGGACAAATGCAGGTTAATGACTAGTAATTCTTTGATAAATGAAGAAATCAATTATGATTTCTAGAAGTACATTGTTGAAACAGAGGAAAACTATTGTTAAATGTATGTTTTCTCCATTAACCTTCCTAAATATTGTATTAATTCTAATATAGTATTTTAAATTCTCTAGGTAAACAGTCAAATCACCATCAAAACAAAAGATAATTTTAATCTTTTCTTTCCAAGTGTTTATAAATAATTAATGCTTTTCTCTTAATATCTATACTTCTAAATCAACCTAAAACATATGTGTCTTTACCAGCCTGCTGATACAAATAATTGACAAGTCTTACATTTTGATATCCTAGGAACACAAACAAAAGTCAATAGCAATTCCCAGGGCAATACCTGTCTTGTTTTAGCGCTTGTTCCTACTGCATTTAACTGAACAGCTAGTCCCTGGTTTCATTTATTGTTTTTACTTTCTCTGTTTGAACATGGTCCTCGTGTTGTTTCTATGGATCAGTCTTGAATCTCTTTAAGAATATGAATCATGTATTTTTGTTTCCATTTCTTGCTGTGATCCCTTGTAAGCAAATCCCAGAAATAAATAAGCTCCAATCCCAACTAAACAACACTGACATCACTCCCAGTGTCCAGATGGGTGGATATTATTATCCCTACTGGAGAAACACAGTAACAGAAACTCAGTGGGTTAAAGCCACTTGCTCCATTACAGCTTTTCTGATATTTTTATATAAAAATACACCTAAAAATTCCTCAAAGTGAATATAAATGTAGAAAAACTTAAATTTTTATAATCTTTACATCTAAAGTCATATTGTGCATTATAAAATAGAAATATATAAAAAAATTAAATAAATTATATTACAGAGAATTTGAAATTTAAATTTAAATAATTTAAAAAAATTTAACTGATGACCTTATTCATTTGGGATCATTTTCTCTTTCTAAACTACTGTCATAATCTACCAACTGATAAAACTATTTCTTCTATGTCTTGATTGTCTCCATCCAACCCATTATTTCCACTTTCTAAAATAAAAATGCACACTCATGTCCCCCTCAAAACACACACATAAAAGGATATAATGATGAGTCCCTGCCTTTTGCAGCAAAATTCTAAAATGGGTCCCTTTTGATTAGATTAACTTCAACTTAACTTTCTTTCCATTACTGCTCACCATTTCTAGTATTTGAATTAGCATGTTTATATATGCATATATACATATATATATGTGTGTGCGTGTATATATAATATATGGTACTTTCTGAAAAGTGCTTTATTGCCTTCGCACATATTGTTTTCACTCCAGGCAATGCCCCAAAGCTAGATATCTTCTACAGTTCCCCCAGGATACAGGTCAGATTACTTCCTCTATGAAGATTTCTGTGTAAATGGAAACCCAAGGATTGCAAGTGACAGGATATCCAAACCTTACTAGATTTGGCAAAGGCAAATTCTCTGACTTTGTGAGTGAGAGCTGACCACCCCATTCTCTACACCCTACTTTACCCTGAACTCTGTCTCAAATTTAATCCTTTCCTTGGAAGAAAAATATTAGAAACATATCTTATTTCTTGATATATTGAAATTTCACAGTATGATTTTTAGTCCATGGCTCTTAAATAATTGCATCAATCCACATAAACCTTTAACAAATTGAATTTTAAATTTGAGGAATGGAAAGAAAAAGAGATAGGGGAGAAAGAAAGCGAGATAGAAAGAAAATGAAAGCAAGAGAGACTTTTGACCAACTCCAAAAAGAAGAAACTTCTGTGCTCTGAACTTGTAAGATGAAGGGAGTGCTATTTATGAAGTACAGTTCTCTATAAAAATAGACTCATATTGATTTTGATGACTTTTCTTTTTTATACCCCAAGCATCTGGTGAATATTGTTGTTGAGTTAAAGCTTGGTGCCTCAGTACTGACAACTAACTGCAGTTCAGTGGGTGAGCTAGACCTCTTATGAGTCAAAAATCCTAGATCATAAATCTCAAAATAACAAATAATCATCAAAAGTTTTGTGACACATTTTTTCCATTTTTAGTTCCAAATGTTCTAGTGAGATCCTCCAAAGACATAGGCCAGCAAAACCTATCGTATTTATCAGACAGTACAATGCACTTTTACATCGTGAGAATATTTACACTACTCTTAAGTCGTTCCGCAATAGTGCATATCACGGATTTTTAAAATACATTTCCCCTAGAAGTAGAACATATATTCATTTAAAAAAATGTGTACCATGAAATAGGTAACGGTATTTTCTGAGTGGTACTAGGAATTTCTTTATTTTAACACGAAACAAAACCTATAAAAATATTAGGAAATACTCCAATTCTGAGACACGTTTAAATTTTAGGGAAAAACGTATTTTTCTTTTCCCCACTGAATGTGTTGTAAAACCTGAACAGAATAAATGTAGCAGCTATTTGAGGACTCTAAATAGAGAGCAACAGGCAGATTGAGGAAGAAAACAAGAATTTAAGTACCATTGGAATTATCTTTTTTCTCCCCTTTTAGTGTCTCCCAGCCTATACTCAAGGCAATGCCAAAACAGAAATTGGGCTATAGCCCTAGCAGTGAGGGCTGAAAGACAAGCTTATAGTTCATGCAGGAGATGCAGGAAAGAGTTCTCTTAACATTCCTAGGTAGTAGAAAAAATCTTCTCTTTTCTATTATTTTTCTTTTCTTCATTCTATTGTTCCTCAGGCCAGGATAGCCCATAGGCACTGAACACTGGAGGGAAAACCATGGGTCTCAAGAGGATAAAATAAACTTCCTGATTATTTTTCCTTTCTCTCTTTTTCTACCACTTGGCCCCAGATGTAGGTGCGTTTATAGGAAGTGCGTGGCAGAACAGTGTAAATAAAGCCCCAGCTTTCTGGGTGAAAATTCTCAAAAGGAATCTCAGGGAGCTGTAAAGTACAGAAGAGATGAAGAGAGAGGAATTCAAAAAGGAGACATCATATATTTGTTTATGAACTTCTGGGATCACCTATGAGCCCTTCTTGCATGATTCTGACCCTAAGCAGTATTCATTAGCCTTTAAAAAATGACCAACAGGATAGACCACTCTAAAGTTCCCAGGTAGGCCACAGGGTACTACACACAGGAAACCGTTCTGATTACTTCTGCAAAAACTTTGAAAATAAAACTGACTTCTTAAGTATTAATTCAATTATTTAGTAATTGTAGGACTATAAAGTTTTCTTTCATTCTTAGTGAGTATTTTTTGGTTTATGGCTTCTCAGGAACTAGTTCATTTCTTGAAAATTGTTAAATTTATGTGTGTAGAGTTGTTGGTAGTGTTCTCTTAAATTTTTTGTAGTGTCTATGTGGTCTGTGGTGATAACCTTTCTTTCATTACTGATATTGATTATTTGTTTCTCTTTCTTGTCAGTCTTGCTAGATGTTTATCAGTTTACTTTTTCAAAGAACCAGCTTTTGGTTTTAGTGATTTTTCCTATGTTCTTTTCTGTTTCTATTTCATTGATTTCTGCTATTATTTCTTTCTTATTTTCTTCTACGTGCTTCGAATTCATTTTTTGTCTCATTTCTCTACTTTTTAAAGTTGAAAGCCTAGATTATTGATCAGAAATCTTTCTTTTTTACAAAATAAAAATTCAATGTTATGAGTTTTTCTCTGAGCACTGTTTTGTTACATCCCAAAAAATTTGATATGTTTTGGCATGATTGATTTAATTTTTGTTTGTTTGTTTTTTGAGACGGAGTCTCACACTGTCGTCAGGTTGGAGTGCAGTGGCGCGATCTCAGCTCACTGCAATCTCCGCCTCCTGGGTTCAAGAGATTCTCCTGCCTCAGCCTCCCGAGCAGCTGGGACTACAGGCGCGCGTTGCCATGCCCAGCTAAGTTTTGTATTTTTACTAGAGATGGGGTTTCACCATGTTGGCCAGGATGGTCTGGATCACTTGATCTCGTGATCCACCCACCTCAGCATCCCAAAGTGCTGGGATTACAGGCGTGAGCCACCACGCCCGACCGATTTCATTTTTATTTAGTTCATAATATTTTCTATTGTTCAGATTTAGTTTCTTTGGGGTGAGTGGACAGACGACTGCAGTTTTTCTCTGGTGGTTGGCTGGATGCGTCCCCCATTTCCTAACCACGTGGGCCTCTCCATAGAACAGCTCACAAAATGGCAGCTGCCTTCCATCAGAATGAACAAATGTGAAAGCAAGAGATGCTGAACAAAACAGAAACCAGACTTTTTTTATAACCTAATCTCATAAGTTATATCCCATTCCTTTTGCTAAATTTTGTTCGTTAGAAGCAAATCATTAGTTCCAGCCTAGACTAAAGGGGAGGGGATAAAAAGGGCCGAGATACCTGAAATGGGGCATCATTGGTAGACATTTTAAAAGCTGCTGCTGAACATACAAACAAAGCACAAACAAACAAACAAATCAATGATGGAGGCACTGAAAAATGAGATACTGAGGTCCCAGTCACAAGAGATGACCTAACCGGGTAGACTGACTTCTCTCTCAACATGCTATCAAAGGCAATGTCTATTCTAAGCTATATAGAAGTAAGGGCTCCTTGAGCTATGAACTCAGATTTCTTTGTTAACACTTCTGAGTTTCTGTACCCAGGGTAGCAATTGAAATATTAGCATTTTCACTTGGCTTGCTTTTATATTTCATTTCAAGAGCTGGCTCTGTTCCACTTTCTTCCATTTGATTAAAAAAACAAAAACAGAAAAACTGCTTTTCAGACTATTTTACTGCCTTCCAAACAAGGAAGGTTTGAGTCAGGGAAAACACATTATACCCTGGGACAGAGAGAGCAGGACAGAACTACTGAAATCCAAGGAACATCTCAAAGTTGCATGCAAACTGGGCCAAGCCACATTCGTTGAGTCAGTGAGACTGCTCTCCAGAGCCATGCAATTGGAAACTTCCAGGCAAAGATAAGAATGGCTCCACATTTACATTTCCTTCTATCAGAGGCTGAACAAGTGCTGTGCAATGGAATGAGTTCTTGGGACCAGTGTGGATTTTCTGCAAATGCAATCTCATTTCTGAAGTTTATCATATTTCTACATTTAAAAGAGACAAAGGAAAATTATACATTCCAAGGGCTCACTTCATGCCACAAACTGGGCTAAGGATGAAAGGGAAGCCTTTTATAGCTGATGTATGAGTTGCAGGAAAGAGGTCTCTTAATGTTCATAGCGGGTGGAATTTATATTTATCTCATGAAATACTTGCCACCACTCTGACGTAAGGAATATAATTCCTCCTTTACAGATGAGGTATCTGAGGTTCAGAGGTTACATGATTAGCTCACGTTAGGTAGAGCAGGGCCGAGGCATGCTTCTCATTCTAGGTCTGTCTAATGTCAAAGCCTGAACTTTTCCATGAGTTAACTTTCTTCAAAAAGACTTAAAGTGCACAGTTTAAGAACAGATCACACCAGTAGATGTTCCATCCTGTTTTATAGACTTTGTAGATGTCTGTTATTTTCTAAACAATCATGTCATGAACTGGGAATACAAAATAAAAGACTTCAATATCATTTTTTGGAAGTTCGCAATACATGGGAATGTTTAACTTGTAAACAAATATTATCATACAATGCAATAAGAAGTAATAAAACATGATCAAACCATTATAGGGGCACTAAAATTTGGAAGAAGCTTTATAAGCAAAGCTAGTTTTGTTTAGTAGGATATATATATATCCTCTGGTACCTATAAGTTTTAGCGTTCTGGAGTAAGATAGAGGAGACACACATCACTTAGCTGTAATAATCTTAGTGTATTTTAGGGCTTCTGCTGTATCATATTTTTGAATGAATAAACAGGTGAGTCTATGGTCATAGTTCTAACAGTTATTTGAGTAGTAGATCATGTAGTGTTATGAGTTAATTATGGTTATGCATATGTCTGGCTTATCCTTAATAAATAACTCTTAAGATTTTTAGAAGCTGTCTGATTAATATGTGAACACAAGTAGCTTTTAACATGCTAATTAGATGTCAATTGTTTTGCAAAAATAAATACAAACATTTGTAATGGTAATTGAAGTTGAACTTGCTATGATTATTTATTAATTCTAGTTTTCAAACATGTTAATTACCACAGCTGAAGGAAACCCCCTCTCAAGATTTAAGAAATCCCATTAACTCATCTTAACCTGCTGAATATGTACTCCTTGTAAGATAGGCTAGTTTCAGTATATTTGCTGTTTACTGCTAGATATGTTTAATGACTTGTTTTTGGAGCAGATAACTGAATAGATGGCCACCTAGAGAATGGAGGGTTTGAAGAAAGTAAAATAAAAGGTAATTGAGCAAAGGGGGTTAAAATCTACTATCAATAAAACACTCATTATGGGAGGATAATAGCTTACACATCTTTTTACAGCCTCAAGGTAAGACTAATCTTGCATGATCATCTTTCTAGCTGTACCCAGTCTGAATTAGTCATTTGGTTTTCTGAACTTTCACAGCAGACTTTTTAAAACACCCACATAGACTAACCAGTTTTTCTCTTTTGGGTCTTCCCTTGGTCTCAGGAACCTAGGCTAATTTAGATTCTTGAGTAGAAAAAAAGATATTTGGGTTATGCCCTTTTTAAGTATATATTAAAATCTTACATAGAGAAGGCAATATGCCCTGTTAGAAAGAGGGGTTATTTTCTTGTCAACTCTCTTCAATATCAGCTAAATCTTAGCTTCAATCATGATTACATTATCAACCACATCAAACAGAGTGGGACCTTAGATACAGATTAGCAAGCCCCACCTACTGTTTTTCAGGCACAATTATAAGATTATAAGCCCTCCTTTTTTGGGGAGGGGAGGGATAAGGGTCTTGCTCTGTTGCCCAGGCTGGAGTGCAGTGGTGTGACCATAGCTCACTCTGACCTCTAGCTTGAAAAGTCAAGCCACAACTACAGGTGCGCACCTCCATGCCAAGTTAAGTTGTTCAGTGTTTTGTTTTTGTTTTAGTTTTTCCTGTAGAGACAGGGTCTTTCTATATTGCCCAGGCTGGTCTCAATCTTCTGGCCTCAAGCTCTCCTCCTGCCTTGGCCTCCTAAAGTTCTAGGATTGCAGGCATGAGCCACTGTGCCTGGCCTCTAAGCACCCCAGGCCCCCTCACTTTTTAAATGCCAACATCCTTTAATTGTCCAAGTCTGCGTTTCCAACAAAGACATTATCCTGACTTTTCTCCTTGCTTTGTCTGATTTTTCAAAGAGCATATATGGTGGTGTGGGTAAGAGCTTGCATTGCACTCATATAGAAGAAAACCTGTCTTAGTCATAGATTATCTGTGTAAAACTGGGCAAGTTAAAATAATGTCTTGAAGCCAAATTTCCCCATCTATAAAATGAGTATGACATTAGCCTTAGTTCATCGTATTGATCAAATTCAATGGTATTCATAAAGCCCTTCGTCTAAAATCTAGGACACGGCCGGGCGCAGTGGCTCACGCCTGTAATCCCAGCACTTTGGGAGGCTGAGGCAGGCAGATCACGAGGTCAGGAGATTGAGACCATCCTGGCTAAGACGGTGAAACCTCGTCTCTACAAACAATACAAAAACAAAAAAAAATGAGCTGGGCGTGGTGGCTGCCGCCTGTAATCCCAGCTACTCAGGAGGCTGAGGCAGGAGAATGGCATGAACCCAGGAGGCGGGGCTTGCAGTGAGCTGAGATTGCGCCACTGTGCTTCAGCCTGAGTGACAGGGCAAGACTCTGTCTCAAAAAATAAAATAAAATAAATAAATAAATAAAATAAAATCTAAGACATAAAAATAAAAGCCAACACTTAATTAGCCTCTGCCACACATCAGACAACATGCTAATTAGCCACCCTGTGTTTCCCTCCACCAAAAAAATTGTACGGCCCATAAGGATTCCATATTATAGATGATGAAATTTAAAGCATATAGGGGTTAAATGTCTTGCCTATAGTCATTCTAATAGTACCAGAATTAGGGCTGTAACACACAGTCTTCAGATTCTTGTTCTTACCTCCGTATGCCTCACTGCCTACCTTAGTGTCAACTGCAGATATTACTCATAATTATTCATTCCTGATTTTTGTCAAACATCCCTAGCAATACTTTATTGTAATTAATTATATAGCTAATTATATAAATGGATTCCCTATTAAAACAAACAACTTGTAAACTATAGCTAGATCTTCTGTGTATTTTTTTCCTAAGGTTCTTAAATGGTCCCATATTTGATAGTCATTGACAAATATTGTGAATAATTGAATATATGTGGCACCTCCAGTAATGAATATATGTGGTACCTCTAGCACATGTACTCTGTAGATTCATGCCACACAGTAATTTGTTCATCCTGGCTCATATGCGGAAACTGTCCCACATGTCATGCATTGGACTATGAAAACATCCCATAGGAGCACTGATTAAATGAATTATATCTGAGTTATGATGCTATGAGCACCAGGAAGTACTCTAGACTGGCAAATATATTTCATCCAAGGTAAGAATTGTTACTCTCACCAGGTAGCCCAGCAAACTGAGGGTTGCAGAGTTATGTTATTGTCTTCTGTCTAGTAAAGGACACAGTCATAATTTCAAACCAGTTCTCTGTCTGCTTTCACATATCTCACATAGAACTGCACGCTGTTAAATTTCAAATCTCAGATGAGGCTTAAACTAAGCTTTGAATCTGAAATAGTCCTAAAAGAGCAATTAAGTTACCTAATTATATCAAATAGAATACCCTTACATGGACTTAAAATTATTTTGCATTGGTTTTATTTGTTATAGCATATTTTACTGTTCTTGTTATACATGAAAAGGTAATTATACCTTTCCTATAAAACCCAAGGAAAGATCCTATTTTCATATATTGATAACTTAAACACAGACATTGCATGCACAGATATTCAGAGAGGGTACTGAACATAATGCATAAATAACTCTTCTAGGTAAATTGATATATTTAGATGTCCACGCACCAAGATAGAACCTGAAAATTTCATTGTTTCAGGCTGTCTCCTCTTCTTTGCATGTTTTCTTTCTTTTCCTGGTTACATAAGTTGACCTGTTTTCTCAGTGTAGACATGGCCACAGTCAGCATGTGGAACCATAATTCTTTTAGCCTTTTCTCTGGTTCTTACAATTATTTAACAAGATGCTTTGTAATTAATTCACTTCCTCCCTCCTTCTACGTGACCTTTCCTTTCCCTGGAGTTAATACACATTTGCTACCTAGTAAGTGGGCTCATAATTCATTCTTACCCCTATCCTTACCTTCAAATAAAGCACCTCTATCCTTAGATAAAAGCACTTCAAATATTATTTTACAAGGACTTTCATCATGAGGCCCAGAGAGTTGACTGCCTTAAAACTTATAGTGTCCTAAGAATATTTAAATGGACCCTTTGTCAATCACCCCTTAAAAGTGAAATATAGCTATGCTTTCCTTTGTGTAGTCGTTGGGAATGGGCATTGTTAGACATTTTATGTATGTAATTCCAGATGATGTTTAATAACACTTTGTAAAACACTGATGATTCTACCCAATGTACAGATGAAGGTAAGAGCAGTTAAGTCACCTACCTAGAAAAGCAGGGGCCCCACCCATGTTCCTATCATACTCATGTTTCCAATATATATTCATAGGGCCTTCCTGCCACTCCACTAGAGTGCCATGATGTTAATGGTCTCAGAAGTAACTTCAGGCAATGACTAAAATAATTTAGAAGAAAAACACCTAGCTTCTTGGCCTACCTGGTGGGACAAATCTGAGGCAAGTTCTATACTGTTTCTTAGAGTTTCCCAATGGGACTGAGGCTCAGTTGCCCATAACTGTAACCTGCTTATTAAAATATCCTTTGTTAACTACTAATCCTTTCCAGTCTCTCTGGCTCACTGCTAAGCACTCCCCCTTACTAAGTAAGAAGGTACTTCCTGGGACCTCTTTTCTAAAATCGTTATCTTGGGGTCCATCAGATCACAAAAGACCACTGCTAGAAGGTAGAACTCAGGTGAACAGGTACAAATTTTGGTTCATCTGTGTACAAAGTCCACACTTGCACCCACACTTCCTACAGTGCCCTGGTTCAAATTTAGCACCATTGTTCTGGTGATTTTCTTCCTGGTACAGAATTCACACTGACAATGAACGCTCCCACCTTAGAAAGCTCTGATGAGGAAGTGGCATCTTAGAATTCATTTTTTGTTGTTGTTAACATTTGAGCTTAGGCCAGATTCTTGTCCTTGGCAGTAGAAGAAAAATCCCATTCCTTTAAGCACACCTAGAAAGGTCACTCTTTGAAGATGCAAAAGGGATATTTATCTGGCCTCCAATTTCTTGTGTCCTTAGGTGACCTCTGTGGAGAGTCACTCAGATGTGTGCCAAGAAATCCTTAGCTGCTCTCTGCTGTGCACCGAAGCCCATAACATGGGGAGAAATGGCCCTGCTATTCCATTTAAATAAGCACTGAGCCAGCAGCAATAGCACTTTGCTAATATTGCTATAGGGGCATTCAATGAAAGCCAGTGTTGCTTTTGAACACCATGAGTCTGATGGCAAAATATAGACATATAAGCATGCACAGATAGAAATAGATATAAGGGGGATGTGTGTGTGTGTGTGTGTGTGTGTGTGCATGTGCACACGTGTGTGTGTTTTCTAATAGCCATTCGGAATTATGAAACTCCCCTTTCAAGTTTTAGATGGTACCTTTTTTTTTTGGAGACGGAGTCTCACTCTGTTGCCCAGGCTGGCGTGCAGTGGCACAATCTCGGCTTGCTGTAACCTCCGCCTCCCAGGTTCAAGCGATTCTACCACCTCAGCCTCCCGAGTAGCTGGGATTACAGGCGCCCGCTGACACGCCCGGCTAATTTTTTGTATTTTAGTAGAGACGGGGTTTTGCTGTGTTTCCCAGGCTGGTCTTGAATTCCTGAGCTCAGGTAATTCTCCCACCTCAGCCCCCCAAAGTGCTGGGATTACAGGCATGAGCCACCGTGCCTGGCCTAGATTGTACTTTAAAAACATCTTCAGAGCATATTTAAAAGATAACTTGAAGAATAGCAGATGATGAAAATGACTCTGAAGAATATCTGTATCTTAACTGCATATTTCTCAGCATCTGATGTGTGTAGTCCATAGCAGTAAACCCGAGGAAGAAGATGTAGAAGTATTTTTTAATTGAGTTGAAGAAAGAAAAGAAAAATACCAGGTGAATTTGGGTCTCCAGATTGACCATGGGGAAGCTGGTTTCAGTGGAACTGACAGTAAAGGGAGGGTGAGATGTGACATGCAGAGATAAAGGGCTGCATGGGACAAGGTAAGAATCTTGGCTTCATCTTTAAGGGGACTTAAGAGACAGGAATGCCTAGGAATGGTGAAAAAGTGTTTGTAGAGACCAAAGGTTCAAATTCAAATTCTGGCATTCTCACCTATATACAACTTATGTAACTTTGATTAAAGTTGCTACCTTCTCTGTGTTAACTTTGTTATTTATTTATTTTTATTATTATACTTTAAATTTTAGGGTACATGTGCACAATGTGCAGGTTAGTTACATATGTCTACATGTGCCATGCTGGTGCGCTGCACCCACTAACTCGTAATCTAGCATTAATAATACCAACCTCACAAGTAAAATGCCCTAACAAATTAAATGATTCAAAAGCACCTCTTTCTTTTTATCCTTTTCCTCTGTGGAGAATCAAACTCATCCATCACTCAGGCTATAATTAAATTATTATTAATCTTAATAGTAATACAGTTAATAATTTAAAATACACTTTTATTGAAACTATAGGAAATGTCTTTTTCTGTGTTAAAACAATCCAGAATTGATCAGAAAGGCAATATTATTGTAACTTTACTGAACATATGTTTAAAGATCTAAAAAATGCTAAAATGTTCTCAACAGATCTTGTCCAATTAGTAAACTACAAAATGGCCTGATAGCTGTAGAGCTGAAGCATAAAATTTTGAGTTAAAAGTGATTCTAAGTAAAAGACAATGAAACTAAATAAGATGTACTTGGACTTCATTATTCAATAACTGGTAAATTTCATATGGCTTTACGGTATTTTTACTGTTTTGCTTGTTTTTGATGTAAAGAAAGTATACATTCATTAAAATAAAAATATTCTGAAAATAAAATAATATTTAACATTTTTATTTTCTTTTAGGATTTTGTGTAAGTTTGTGTGTGTTAACACATGTATATGTTATATACTTGGATTTACACTTTATAATAAACAGTATTTCCTACATTTGAGTAATGAATCATCTCTTTTCCAAAGGGAAAAATGTAATTTTCTCAGACTGCTACAAATATGTCCTTTTGGAGCCTAGGAATATGCTATTTAAGAAACAATACCTTGAGAAAGTTAAATCCTATCAAGTGAAATAATTTTCCACTGCAAATTATCACTATGAAAGCAATGCTTTGCATTTACAGCTATTAACTATTTTAGGTAGTAGTTACATAGTCACAAAATGAAAACACACACACACTCACACACGCACACACACATCATACAACCCTAAGGCCATTGTATGTTGAATATTTTCTTCTTTCCATTATTTGAAAAAAATGCATATACCATTTTCTCAAAAAAGTCTATCCTTATTTGAGATTGTTTCTTGAAAACGTTGTCCTAAAATTAGAAATAAATGATTTAAAGACATGTCCATTTGTAAGGCACTTAACATATATTAACGTATGTACTTATGGAAGAAATATGTAGTGCTACTTGTTCCAGTCTTTGGTAGTGTATCGGTACGTCTTTCCTTTGGGACACAAAGCCAGACTGTTGTAACTGCCAGGTGTTCAAAGTGACAACTCAATGTGCAATGCTCATAATAACTATTTTTGTAAAAAAACACTAGAAATTAGTAAAACCATGTGACCTTATTTTAGGCTTCAAAACCAGTGCCTTTCACAGATAAAAACCCTGGCCCAGCACTTCCCTCATGTCTTCCACCCATAGCTTCAGGAATTCTAGGGACTCTGGGAAAAATCCTTCTCCAAGAGCTCTTCTTATGCTCATGAATCATGTTAAAGGTTTGAGTTCCTTGGGACCACCCCAAGTATCTTTTAGCTTTTTTACTGAGAATCATGACAGAGGCTGAGTCCATTAAGGGGCTGCTTCAGGTTTACTCATTTAGTTTCCTGACTCTAAACATTTGCAGTTTAATTGTTGGCACACAGAACAATTTCTGAAAGGCATTTCTGATAGATATTATTTGTTGTAGCCTTGGCTTTGCCACAGTTAGATAGTTGAACTTGAGCGAGACTTTCAGTCTCACAGAGCCTTGGCTTCCAACTTTGGGACATGGGACTAACTGAAAGTGATGCCTACCCTATATGTTTTTATAAAAATCAACACACTAGTAGGTCCTTAAAGACGGTGAACAGATCAAATTCATCTTCGAATTATCATTGGTAAGCTAATGCCTAGCACAAAGCTATTACCATTAGAAATTCTTAGGATTAGTTTCATTGGTAATGAAGTCAATAAACATTTATTGATTACCTATTGTATGGCCGGTAATGTTTGAGGTATTGAAGGTATAACTGTGAACAAAATATAAACATGTCATTGCTCTCTTGAAATGTACTTTGTGATAAATCTTTTTGGGAGATAGAGGGTTAAATTAATTTTAATATACATATATTAGATATACATAAACATATATATTTGGGAATAACAGCATATATTTTAAAATATACAGTTTTAGATTGAATAATATTTAATTACAATACATTGTTTATGTACAATGCATTGCAATATTCTTTTCATTGGAAAAAAATTCTAGGCAGTTTGAACTTTAAACGTTCATCAAATTGTTTTTTGCAATTACTATACATACCAAGGTATGTGTTGTCTCAATATTTAACTTGCCTTTAAGGTAATTCTCTTTTCTACATATTTTTTTTCACTGACATTGAAATTCCATGGAGATATTTTACAGACAGTGTCCTTGGTCATGGTATTAGTTGTGCTCATGATGGTCAAAGGAAAGTATTTTTAGAAGAAAAATAACCTTGGTGGCCTTGTATTTAATTGGCAATAGCTGGAAAGGACTGTAATATAAATATTGAGATTATATATATGGATATATAGACAATTAAACTACATGTTTGTCCCCCTAAAAAGGACAGAAAACATAATGGAAATTTCAGGGGCCAGATTTTAGCTTATAAGCTAATCACAAGTAAATATTTTTTTAAAAAAACAGATAATAACAACATCATTTTGCCATGTTTGTGTGCGTGTGGGTACAGGTGCACCTGTGAAAATGGAATAGACACCATCAGATGCTGTGAGTTCACTGACATGAAACAATCACTTTCTGGATGAGGCTGTTATAAACAGTGTTAATAAGTAATTTCAATAACATGACAAGGCAACTGACCCTGGCTAGGCCAGTTTAAAACCTCCAGCCCCATAAAATGGAGTACTTAGGGAGGTATTTGGTGCTATGATGAAAAGTTCATCCACACAGGCAATTCACCACCTATTTACTGAACACCCATAATATGCTTGGCACTGAGGCTACAGAGAAGAAGGAGCTTCCCCATTCCCATAATGGAAAGAAGAACACTCAGAAGACTCCATTAGACAGGAGCAGGGGATGTGGTTTAGAAGCCAGAGAGAAATGGATTTGAGTCCCAAACCCCTTATTTACTAATCATGGGAACTTAATCATTCTCTCTGCTTTCAAATCATCAGGTTTACCAAAATAAAGATTCACAAGCATTCACATAGCCCATTCTACTGAGCAGATGCATAGACCACTTTGCTTTTCTAAATCTGCATTTCTGATAAAGTTCCAGCCTGAGAGCTGAAATTGCACCATTTAGGGAGAAACATGGCATTCTCTGTTTCATTAGTCAGAAAACCTGAAATCATTATATATTAGCTAAAACAACAGCAGCTGATTTTTCCAGGCCCTCTGACTCTGCATAATGTATTGCTTTTCACTGTGTTAGTTCATCATTCAGAAATGCAGTATATCCTAAAACTGACCCAGGCTAAGAAAGGAGATTTTATTTATCGTAGGATTAAAGTTTTGACAAAGGCAAGTATTGAACTGGATGTTTCCTGACTTACGTGGTAAAACAAACAAACACAAAACTTTAGAATGAGTACAGTTTGATTGGAAATGACATATAATTTTAATAGATTGTTTCCACCTGCTGTCCAGTACTTAACTATAGGATGATGTAAAAGTCACTTGGCATCTCCCACAATCAAACTCTTTATCTTAAAATGGGAGATCATTCACCTTTCTTATCGGATTATCGTAAATGTTAAAATAGATAATGTCACTCAAAAGCACTTTATGAATTATAAAGCAAATATAAAAACATATATATATACTTTTTTCTTTAGAAGTTAGCATGTATCTAGCACATTATAGACACTCAAATGAGTTTTGAATAAATTAATAAATTTATTCAAGATAGTAATCAAATACTCCATTCAATCCTTACTTCCAACAAGCAATTTTAAGTTTGGAATACAGGCATAAGAATATTTAATTTACTGATTACTTTCTTGTGCCAGAGGAATTAGTCATTTCTATGTCATTAGGCTAGAAATTAAACTTGGAAATAAACCAGGAATGAAGATATTTTAGTCACTGATGAAACATTATATTAAAGTTAACTTTTTAGATAAAACTGAGGTTTTTATATGTCTGGTAACTGAAAGCCATAAAATAGTAGCACTGGTGTACAAATATTCCCACCACAATTTTTCCACAGATGGAAAACCAAGAAGTTTAGGGGACTTACCTGAATTCTACATGAACAGAGAGGATCTCTTGGATACAAAGTGAGATGATATTACTGGACTAAAGAATGCATCAATTGCAAGGAAAAGATTCCATAGATGTCATCTTCATCTGTGTATCTGTTAAAGAGAAGTATACATTTTTTGTGTGAAACTGAGAGCACTGTACTTTTGAGATTGTAAAGAATTCACTCTCTATTTCATTTGAAATATTATCCATATGTGTTTCTAGAAAAAAAAAGTGTTCTAGTCTGGTGAGAAGTCTGTAGCAGCTGAAATTTTGTTAAATGCCAATTGTGTGCCAAGCATGCCGCTAAGCTTCTTGCACACATTATGCTATTTAATTCCCTTTGCAATCCAGTGACATAGGCATTATTATTGCTATATTATTAAATAAACTGACAAAAAATTATAATCTGAAGATTTAAAAATAACATGTCTAACATTACATTCTGGCAAAATACAGAACTGAGGAAGTCTACCTTCAGAACTTACAGACCTTTTATACTTATGGAGGATGCTATGTTACCTCCCAGCATGCACTTGTGATCAGCAGTTTATGATTCAGTAAAGAATTTCAATATAGGATTGTGGTGGTGTTGTTGTTGCTGTTGTTGTTGTTGTTGTTAAAGCAAGTTCATGCTGATATAAATTGAGTCAGAGGAGGAATTAGAGAGCGTAACACATAACTAAAGCATGTTGCCAAGGAAACTCTGTTGGCAAACCAAGTATCATGGAGTTTAGGGATGTAAAGGCACTTGTCTGTAGCCACAATTATTTTCTTGATCATTCTACAGATCAAAGAGGAGATATTAGGTACTCTAACACTATGGAAAGGCTAAATCGTGGGTTGAACATGAATTTTTTTGAAGCTGATTTTAGATGTCCAGGAACTTAACACATTCCCTTGAGAAATTGTAAATCATTAATTGAAACTTTCTTCGGAAATTCTAGAGAAGCTACATTGAGGCCTTTTAATGTCAAAACTTCTATGAAGCCCCAGGGGAGCCCTTAACTCAAAGTCAGAAAACAAGGTTCTGACCCTATGAGGTTTCCGAACCAAAGTTCAGGTAGGGATGAAAGTGTCTCTTAAAAACTAACTAGGAAAAGGAATGAATGTATACGATGGCCCAGATATCCATGACCTCTGCACCATTATTCACCTGGGAGCAGCCACTATACTGGAAGCGTAACATGTAGAACAATCAGAGGAAATTTATTCAGGTCTGACTTTGCTATAGGCAGTGCTTATCCCATCTAGAAATTCTGTGTCCTAGTATGTTGCCGCAATGACTTTTTGGATACATTTTTTGTTTATTTTATATGTGTATTTGCTTTAAATATCCTTCTCTGGTAATAAATGAATACTTTTCTTTGTGTGTGTGTGTGTGCGCACGTGTGTGTGTGTGATTCTGATGCTATCTTCTCATATCTGGGAACTTTTAAAAAATTTTACCTTCTTGTAATTGTGAGAGCTGTTTCTCTTCTGGCTCTACTAATATCCTCAAACTTCTCATTCAATTACCTAAAACTCTTTTCTTCTCCCAATTATCTCATCTCTCATACCCTTCACTTTAAAATATCCTTTTCTTTCCATTAGTATTTATACTAAATGCAGTCAATTCTTGGCCTCTCTTACGCAATTAGGTGAAGCTTACATTTCAATTACAGTGTTTAAAGCTATTCCAAGAACATGAGCTATTGGCTGCCCCTATTAGCCACTGTCCACAAACACAAAGTTCTGGAATATAAAGTCTGTCCTTGATCCTGTGATCTTGCAATATAACATTAGCAGCCAAAGGTTTCTCTTGTTCTATCGGTGTGTTTCAGCTCCTATCTTGTATTCTGTGTCTCTGGTCACTCAGACTGAATTCTCAAGAGATAAGGCAAGAGCTTTAGATCCAGCGTGATTCTTCAAAAGGCCCATTTTCACCAATATTTTAGTGGCTTGGTCCATGAAAATTGTCTGTGCTTCATTTCCAGTGTCTTTCTTGGCCATCGTATCTTCAGATTTCCTGTTTAACTGTTTCACATTCATCTCAATGAGTGCTATAAAATCACAAAGCCAAGGAAGAATAGTCTCTTAGTGGCAGCATAAAATTAGAAAAGATTGGCAGATAGCACCCAGTCTTAATACCTTTATAGAATGTGTTTCATAGTGCCCGCTGAACAATTGCGCATATGAAATCTCAAAGCCCATAGCACATATATCAGCAATAATTTCACGGAAGCAGGCTCTGGCTAATATGTGCAGAGTCTTATATTACTTTATCAAACTGTCTTTGTGTAATTAGTCTGTCTGCAAAGCCTGGCATATAAATTAAGCATCTAATTTATCTTGACTGGCCTCTGGATTGCTTGATCAGTCTATTCTGCCTCTGTGGCTCTTTAGTGAATGCCAAGTAAAGTAAAGGACCCTCTGGCAATAGGGAGAGAGAAGAAGCAGAAACTCCCTTCGAGGTCAGAGGAAATTTTACATTGACTCATCACTGACACATGGGCAGAGAGCGTGGCATTCCTTCTGATGACAGCAATCTTCATTGAGTGGGGAGGTGGGGGGTCATAATTGATGTCCCTGGTGGCAGGTTACTTTGTATCATGGATGGTGAATAATAAATAAGCACAACACAAGCTGTGAAGTCAGGTTTACCAAATGAAATCAAATTAAAAGTAAATTGTACTTTCCTCCTCATTCAACACCATTTCTCATAAACCACTTATCAATACAACTGCAATCTGTACAACTATAAGAGACAAGTTACACAGCTATTCAATCCTGATAAAAACAAAATAACTCCTGTAGCCATAATCATTCCTCAAGAGCATTTAATTTGTGGGCTTTTGCATTATTGCTATCAAAACAAAATCTTGCAGCTTTATTGGAATACATAAATCTCTTTGATTTAAGGATACTTTATCTCTCCTTTTCTCAGATGAATTTGAAATGGCACAGACTTAAATTTTTATGGAGTGATTTCTGGGGGGAAAGGCTGACATAATTTTTGGCACGGGACATTGTGTTCTGCTGACAACTCAGAAAGTTTGAAGGAAATGTGTAGCTCACTAGATAGTTTTTCTCAGAGTGTATTCTCTTCTCTGCAGTTGTGGATGCATACCCAGTAGGGTCGTGTGTATCCTTCTATATATGAGGAGGCACATCCATTGTGAATGTCTTACCTCTCTCCTGACTTTGTAATTGGGTACACAAGAGGGTAACAAGAGGCCTGGATGCATGAAATAAGACTATTTGGGCCATCATCTTGTGACTTTCTACCAATGAGGATTTATTCTGCTTTTAGAAACAGGCCATGATTGTCTATGGCAACCATGTTTCACAGTGAATTTACCAGATCTCTGTTTTTGCCCCAACTCTCCAAAGACTGTATGACTTAGTGACACATCTGAGACTTCATGGATCTTCCAGATAATGAGGGCTGACCCAACACTACAAATCAACTCTGTCATTACCTGATTTATATTAACATAGCAATTCCACATGCTTTATTTAAAAAAACACTCTTTTTAAAAATAAAGAACAAAATATACAGTGGCTTTAAATATTCCCTGGTTACAGATCTACTTGGTGGATATTTCAGACAATAGAACCAAGAAGATTTTCCAAATGGAAGCATGCTCATGTCTATGTTGTTTGATATTCAAATAATAAACACTTCTCTTTCTAGCATAAGATTATATAAAAGTGCACTGTATGTAAAGGGTTAAGAGAGGTAAGGGTTTGGACCTGTGTAGATGTGAGCCACAGTCTGAGGAAGTAAATGCTATATGGCTATGTAAAGATGGTTGATTCTTTTCCAAGGCAAAGGCCTCAACAAAGAATGGCTATTACTGATTTATTGAAAAACAAAATGCCAAAGTTATCTTCATGGTATTTTGAGTCATTAAAGACTCAACTAGAAGGTCCATTTTAGGACTCTAAATGCAATAATCAACTGTGAAGACTGAGGCCCATGAAAGAAAAATGACCTTCCTAAAGTCATACATTAAGTTTATATTAAAGGGATTGCTAAAGCATTGGACTCTTAAATATCAATACTGGGACTCTATCATTTCATCTGTTTGTTTATTTATCTGTATGTCAGGCACTATGTTAGGACTTGGGATTCAAGGAAGATAAATGGAAACAGATATTTCTGTTCTAATGGCCTCTGGTCAATTGTGGAGCCCAACATTAATCAAATAATCGCTCAAATAAAGAAGGTAAATTATACATAATGACAATGAGAATATGTGTAAAGAGAGAAGGCCAAGAACAGAATAATTTATTTCTGCAAGCACATGGAAGGGAAATAATCGGAGTGCATGATAATGAAACAGGTTGTTTTCTGTCATGGGCTTTCTTGTAAACATTATTTAAGATGCATCTCAGGGATTAGCCCTTCCCACTTCGCCTTCTCTGACTTTCCTAAGGTGATTTTGCAAAAACAGTCTCAGTTGTTCCATTTGCATATCTCTTCCACCACCATTTTGGATTGAATGATCTGCCTTTCCCATTAAATCAAGCAGTTATGAATGGGAAAGGATCTTGTCTTGCCTAGTGTTAGATTTTTACACGGTATGTGAACATATTTTTATTTTCAGGCAGGAAGAAAAAAAAGAACAAAGAAGAATACGATAGTAAGAGAAAGTCATTGGAAGCAGACACTACTTGAGGTCCACAATACATTCCCTTGGCCCCGCTAGTTTCAGCGTAGCACTGGGGAACAGCATTTTGCAAACTTCCAGAATCCCATCTCAAGGGACCCTGTGGCAGCTTTTAGGCTTTCTCCAATGTCGAGTGACTGCTCATCTGGTCGCATAGGCACAGCCTGACAGTACAGGGGAAGGGGAGCTCACTTAACACCTGGGGTGGGGTAGAGGGTAAATCCTCAAACAAAGAGCTGCAGAACTTATTGGATAAATGCCCACATTCTGATCATTTGCTAGAACATTTTTGTGGAACAGTTTCCATGGTTCCATAGGTCAGAAACAGGATTGAGTCACAGTTGTCCATGATGGTATATATGTCAATAATGTAAACTTAACTGGCTTTCTTGCTTCCATTGATCACCTTCTGTTTCTTCACTCTATTTCTTTAGTTTTGTTTTTGTTTTTGTTTTTGAGACAGAGTCTCCCTCTGTCTCCCAGGCTGGAGTGCAGTGGTGCGATCTTGGCTCACTGTAACCTCAGCCTCCCGAGTAGCTTCCTAAGTCTCCCAAGTAGCTGGGATTACAGGCGCCTGCCACTACACCCAGCTAATTTTTGTATTTTTAGTAGAGACGGAGTTTCACCTTGTTGGCCAGGCTGGCCGTGAAATACTGACCTCAAGTTATCTGCCCGCCTTGGCCTCCCAAAATGCTGGGATAGCAGGTGTGAGCAACCACGCCCGGCCAGCCTAAGACAAAATTTTAAAAACAAAAGACGACGACACCAAAAATCACTGCTTGTACCCAACTCTATATTTCAGACACTGGGAAAAGCGAAGAGGCAAACTAAGATAACCTTTTAAGTGGGAGGAGTCACAAATTAATATCAGATCCTGCAGAAGGTTCCAGCGAACCTATTATTTTAAAACATTAGCATTAATTGGACACTGATACTCTTCAAGCAACAGGTTTAATTGAATTGTTGGGATTTACAACATAAAGGGTATGAATTGAAATATAAGGAATTGTGTAGAGCTGGAACCTACTTTTGATTCTCAATCTTGACTGAACCCCAATATTACAAAGGTTTAAAACTTGCTGGTACTCTAGATCTCCAAATGAGAGTTTTCTGGGAGTGGCATCTAGTATATATGTCTTACAACAAAACAAAAACAAATAAGCAAAAATTTCCATAAGATATTTTGATGCACAACAGGATTAGTAACTACTTGGATGGTTATCATTAAAAAATTTGCTGGGAGAAATATACTACAGGTTCCCATCATAACATGAATAGATCTTAAAGCCATAGTACAAGAAAAATTTTAAAAATCAAGTAAGATCTATTGTATAATACAACTTAGGTGAATAAAAAATTCATGTACACAAAAAGTGTAGAAATTATACATAACAAGAAAAATATATACATCAACATTTTAGAAACATTGTTCATGAGAGGATGAGAAGGATGTGTGTGAAAAAGGAGGAGAAAAGGAAATCAGTAAAGCAGGAGAGGAAGCCTCGCACAGGCTACTGACAAGAGCGTGCTGAGAACTACTGAGCATGGTTAACTCATCCTATTATATCCATGTCCCACTCTCAAAAATATTTCCTGAAAACTGGAAGGACATATTTATCACAGATTATGTTAGTTGGAATGCTGCATCTATGTGTTTATACATTGATATACACACATTACAAGAGGGAAATAAAAAACCTTTAGCTCAATTGGCTTCCAAAACCAAATGACCATTGCCAATAATCAATCATCAATATAAATCTTCTTCATCTACTGGATTCGTAAAGCAATCATCTCTGCAGATAATCAGTACATTCTCATCTGCCAATCAAATCAGTGGTAGCCAGAGCTAACAAAAAGCCAAAACTGAACATGGAAGATAAAATGATAAGACTGCATAAATTAAGTGAGGTTAGTTCTCAGGCAAAGATCTCAGAGACTGGAACGATGTAGGAGAAGACAAGTCGAATATATGGTTCTACGTGGGAAGAAGTCTCCAAGAGGAGGCAGCATCCTCCAGCATACAGGATTCAGCGATATAATATATACTCCCATGTTCTTGGTCTTGGTATCTACTCAAAGTTTACAATCCTTTTTTTCCTCCCCTAAATCCAGGGAGTTAGGGACAGAGGGTCTCACCTTTGATTAGGGGAATTTAGTTTAGTATCTGACTAAATTACTTTGCTTCCTATTTATTCTATGGATGATTCTGTTTTTTGAAACAACATAACCTTTTCCCTGGTAAAAACTGAAGAATATAGCTGGGCATAATGGCTCATGCCTGTAATCCCAGCACTCTGGGAGGCCGAGCGGGGAGGATCACTTGAGCCCAGGAGTTTGAGTCCAGCTTGGGCAACACATGGAAGTCACATCTGTACAAATAACAGAAAAAAAAAATGAGCTGAGTGTGGTGACAGTTGCCTGTAGTTCCAGCTCCTCAGGAGGCTGATGCAGGATCATTTGAGCCTGGGAGTTCCAGGCTGCAGTGATCCATGATTGTGCCACTGCACTCCAGCCTGGGTGACAGAGGGAGACCCTATCTCCACCTCAACCCCCACCAAAAAAAAAAGAGGAGGAAGAAGAAGAAGAAAAACAAGAAGAAGAAGAAGAAGAAGAAGAAGAAGAAGAAGAAGAAGAAGAAAACTGAGGAATATGATTATCAAACATCTTTAATGTCTCAACTAGCAATGTATAATAATAGAATGATAAAGATGATAAAACTGCCTATATACTTTTAGTTATAAATTTTCCACATATGAAGTTACATGTGCATCTAGTTAGATAGGTAGATAACTCTTCTCAGCTCAAGCAACTGTCCTCTTTTCAGCTTTGAATAATTTCAATATGGACATTTTTAAAGTAGAAAATTAGTATAGGAGGTCCAAATATTCACTAAATTATTTGGATCCACTTAGTTTCACTTTATAATGCCAAGGTTATTCGCATGCAAGCAATATTCTTAGTTATCATCTCCAACTTCTTAATATTTTCAACATTTTAAAAAAAGTAGCTTCAGAGGAATACGTGATCTGTGTTTTCTTAAATAGATTACACCTACCCAAATGTGTTTTTAGTACCCAGATCCTCAAATAAGATTCCAAATAATGGTTTTAATGCCTTCTCCCAAGCTTAGAACAGTATTAACTGCTGATGTAAAATTATGTGACAGCAAATTTGAACAAAGAAAAATAAAATGATTTCCATGTGGCCATTTTTCTACCAAGCATATTTCTAAGAAATATTAAATATGATGACATGCTAACTATATTACAAAAACTTACCTAAACGGACTACATGTGGTAGTAACAGCACTTTTGATTTTAATTAAAATAATGCAATGAAATAAACAATATTACATGATATAGTTCAATTAAAGAGAAATTGCCTGTTTGGGGCATTTTTTTTTAATCTCATTTTTTCACTTGCTCAATTTTAGTACAATCCACCTCCTACACTATTCCAGTATAAGTCAAATAACAGGACTTAAACTGTCAATTTCTTAAGAACTTTGTAACATTCAGGTATAATACACTACATAAGTTGTGCATTTCAGTTAACATAAAGTCACTTCTTCCTGCAGTAGCAGTAATGGGGAAAAAGTGCCACTTCTGTTACAATTAAACCAGGTCTCCATGCGTAGCTTAACATTAAGCAGAACCATGTGTGGAATTCTGCAGAGAAAGCAAAAAAGAGGTGACTGTGAAATATGCTGATCTGGCTACAAAGTAGTTGGTTCAATTTTCACATGTACAACAGCTTCAGTTGGTTAAAAACTTAGACTTGTAATTCCTCCACAACTTATTATCTTGTGACTCATCTGCCAGGGAAGAAATGTCTCAGACTGTGAAATTCAGCAAAACTCTGGTTTATGGAGGTTGCTCAACCTTTAACTCAGATTTCTCATCTGAAAAAAAAAAGCCTCATGCAATGATTGTCAGGATTAAATGAGATGGAACCTAGGAAACACTTAAAGGGAGCTCTGGATAGGATGAGCGTTCAAAAAATGTTAGCGATGATTTCAAAGCAACATTTTAAAATAAATGAATAAGAGCCTGAAATCTGCAAATACATCTGGGATGCACTGGGGCTATGTTTGGAAATTTCTTTAATGTCCAGCATATGAAAACAAACAAACAAAGACATCCTCTGTTCCATTCCTTTAAGTCACTATGTAGTTTATTATAACCCAAATAAAATATAATTTAAAAATATAGAATAATTCTGTGGTGGTTTTCCTGTGGCAAATGAGCAACAAAGCTATATATATATTTTTCTAAACTGACAGTAAATATGCTCATTTATTTGATTTATAAATTGACACTGGATACTGTTATTTAGTTTAGAATATATTATTATTAGGCTATTGCAGGACAGGTCCATATTTAGAAACATAGAATAGTCTGTTTTTTGTTGCATAAATGTTCAATTATTTAGACTGGTTACATTTGACTGAAATGTGTGAGGGATGTCAAATAAATACATAAATAATTTTATAATAAATGTTTTTCTTTAATTTTGAAAGAATTTCCTTTACTCCTTGTGCTCCCCTGTTATAAATGGATATTCTTCCTTGTATTAATGGTACTTGGCCTTAACATATTAGCTCCTCTTTTAATACTGTTAGATTCTAAATATATAGACTTTATCTCAGGTAGCCTGTGACTCTCAAGGGCCAGAATAAAACATAGTAGGTGCTAAGTACTTGCTTAAAAAAAAAGAAAATGAGAGATCATGTCGGATATATCATGCTGCTCCTGAGCACTTTGCACAGCACTTTTTACCTGGTAAATTAGAGGAAATGTTGGGAAATTAATGAATACCAGTATGCCAAATAAATAAGGTAAGATGCTTTCCATCAAAAATGGGACACAGTTTTTATTAAAGTGCTAACAAATACCATAGAATTGTTAACATAAAATATACTTTTAAAAAGGAAAAAAATCTATAAACTATTAGAAGGAGGCTCACTATTCTAATGAACTGTAAGTCTATAATCTTGGCAAAGAACAAGATGTCTTTCTACTTGAGCTCTAGAGTACCTACTTTAGGGTTAAATCAAGTTACTTGACAGCATGTTGAAGCTAATTTCATGATCCATCAATTAAACTAAAGCTCAAAGTCAGTAGTAAAACTTTGGTACAGCTGCTGTGCATTCATTTATATAATGGAAAGCACTACACAAATATTTGCTGAATCAATTAATCAATAAACCAACAATGAATAATTGTTGGACAGATGGCAACTAGAAAATCTAGGTGGATCAATAGGAGAGAACTCCACAATCCTGATAAGCCCAGAAAAGTTAAATCATTGTTTCAAGTTCACAAAAAATTTAAGATTCATATCCTGCCATCTAAACTTTAAGGGTAGGACTTCTTCTAACCAATATTCCTGAACCTTTTAAGAGTCACTTATTGCTGAAAAGAACTCAGTATCATTGGGCATTAAAACTGCATCCTTAGTGCTAAAATCAGACTGAGATTTTGAATAATGGCACTGCCCTAGTAATCATGAAGCAACGTTCTCCTTGGAGTCGATCAAATGTTTCCATTAGCAAAAATCAGTGGCAAGACACTGTTCCCCTGGAGTGACATTTCCTGCAATCATTTTATGCTTTAACAAGACAACTTGCATTTTATAACTTTGTAATCCCCAGTTCCCCTCATTCTTCTTGACTTTGGAAATGTCTCTGAGTTTATTGCCAAATAGAAATTGCCCCGGGAAAGAATAGTCATTGTCTATGAGAGATAGAGAGAGAGAGAAAGCGCAGGGGGAGAAGGACAGACAGAGAGGTTCTAAATCTCAACAGTTTCATTGCAGAATTGATAAAGATATTTTACAAAAACTTTAAAACACAGAGAAAATATAAGGAGTCTTCAGAAGTTGGATTGAAATATTTCCCTGTGCTAGAGAAAAGCAACCCAAATATAACTTTGAAAAATAATCTTTTGTACTTTTTACCATACTTTAAGAAGTATTGCTAATTTTTCAGATTTCAAATATAAGGATATGTATTCATCCTGGGTAAGAATGCAAGTCCTATAAATCACAATACATATAGTCTTGTCTTTTTTCATTTTAATGGTAAAATGAGCATAAATCTGTGTAAGTTCAAGTTAGGAAAACACACGAGTAATGATTCAGAGAATCAAGAATTTGCTATCTCATAATCCTGACCTTGGAAAGTTCACAGAGACAACTCCAGAACTTTCCCGAAGGAATATTGTTTCTTCCATTGTATACTGAAAATATTTTATATAGGCTTGGGAAATAAATGTATTGTGAGGCAGAAATAATGCGCTAGTTTGTAATGTCTTACAGTGCAAAGGCTAATTGATTTTTATGCAACTGTTTTGCTAATAACTATGATTAGGGTTTTTGAATTACATAAGTATCACAATTCATATAAGATAACCATCTAGCATGTAATAATAGCTCTGATCAATTTATATAAATACACACTTATTAGCTTTGGCTATGGGAGAATATGAGGAGTGATATCTACATTTGCTAATTTTCCTGACTTTGCTTCACATATTAGCTTCTATTTGATCCCTATCATGGCTTCATATAAATAAATCCTTACTCATAAAAATAGGTCTTTTTTATATGGCCAAACTATTGCTAATGGTCAAAATGCCTCTGCCAATAACAGAATTTATTTAGAGTTGTTCTAAGTCAATGTGTCAAGTCACTGTGGCTTTTCTAAATGTCAATTTTATTTAGACATGAAGAAAAAAGTTAGAATGCATAATTTAAGTGACATGGAATTGGCATAAACAGGATCTGCTACATTCAGGATGACTATTCTTTCTTATACTATATCCCTTAAATTGTATGCCATGATATATCTTCTATACCTTTGCATCTCATATATTTTTATCTAATTCAGAAAGCTATGAAAATGATAGCAGATAATATTTAGGATGATATGCCAAATTGCAGTCCTAAGAGGTTATATGTGGATTTCTTTTGAATCTCACAATAAGTTCAAGAAAGGGGTATCATAGTTAGTATTTTCTGCACATGAAGTAACTAGAGCTGGGAGACATTTAGTAAACCAGTTAATGATGGGGCAGCAATATAAAGCCCTCCAGGGTCTGGGTAGTGATATGAGGAAGGTCCTGAATAATAACGTAACTAATATCAAAGACTTAGATATATGAGTAGATAATTAATTATATTCTGCTTGATATAAAGATGATACTCCATCATTTACATAAGTTCATTGATATATCCAGATTTGGCATAAATATCAACATCTAACGTCATTCAGAGGGCAGGCTCTTACTCAAAGGGTCTGTATGTCTCTGTCTTAGTCCATGTAGGTTGCTATAACAAAACACCACAAACTGGGTGGGGTGACTTATAAAAAAAAGAAATTTATTTCTCACAGTTCTGGAGGCTGGGAAGTCCAAGATTAAGGCACCAGCAGAATCTGTGTCTGGTGAGGGCCCACTTCCTGTTAATGGATGGCTGTCTTTCTACTATATTCTCACATGGTGAAAGAGGGAAGGGAGTTCTCTCCAGCCTCTTTCATAAGGGCACTGAAATCATTCATATGGGCTTTACTTTTATGGTCTACTCGCCTCCTAATGGCACCACCTCTTCATATTATTACCTTGAGGTTAGAATTTGAACATATAGATTTGTAAGGGGGGTTGCAAATTCTTCCTGTGGTCCTCCAAAATTCACATCCTTCTTAACTGCAAATGCATGCATTGCAATCCAATAATACCAAAGTCTTAATTCATCCTAGCATCATCTCAAAAGTCTGAGGTCTCCTGTGAACATTATCTAAATCAGATATGGGCAAGACTCAAAGTATGATTCATCCTGAGGCAAACTGCTTTTCAGCTGTCCACCTGTGAAATCAAATGTACTATGCACTTCTGAACTACAATGGTGGGAAAAGCACAGAATAGACACACGCATTACAAAATAACAGAAATAGGGAAGAAGAAAGGAGTAACAGATCCCAAGGAAGCTGGAAAGTCAACAGGTCAAATTACATTAGATCCTAAGTCTTGAGAATAATCTTCTATGGCTCTGTATGTTCCATGCCCACTAGGGCAGAGGTCTCACCTTACGCACATTGGAGTAATTGTCCTATACCCCCTGTATTGCCAGGTTGGGCCCCCAAGTCTCTGAGAAGCCTCTTTGGGTGGTCCCACACCAACTACAGCTTTGTGCCTGGGTTTTGAACCAGCTCTTTTCAATGGCTGGACTCCCATGTGTGTGGCTCTACTGTTCTAGGGTCATTCATACAGCCTCTGCACTTTGCCCTAATGGAGGCTCCTCTGCACTTTGCCCTAATGGAGGCCCTCTGCAGTGGCCCCTTGCTCACTGGGACTCGGGATAAGAAGGGCAGTCTTGGATTATTTTTAATTACCTTTGGGGTCATTCTTTCATTGTCTTGTACAACAGCTCCTGGCCTCTGTTCGGATGGCTGACTGATCTCCTTAACACATGGTTATTTGGCCACATCCTTCTGGTTCTCTCCTGAATAGAGAAGGTTAAGAGGCTCTCTTATTCTTTCCAACATGGATAGACAAGAATGTTCAAAATCTTTACATTCTGCCTCCTTTTAATCTTTATGTTCTGCCACTCGCCCAGGCTGGAGCACAGCGGCATGATCTCAGCTCACTGTAATCTCCACCTCCCGAGTTCAAGCAATTCTCCATCCTCAGCCCCCTGAGTAGCTGGTATTACAGGTGTTTGCCACCTCACCCAGCTACTTTTTGTATTTTTTAGTAGAGATTGGGTTTCACCATGTTGGCCAGGCTGTTCTTGAACTCCTGACCTCAGGTGATCCACTTGCCTCAGCCTCCCAGAGAGCTGGGATTCGTACAGGTGTAAGCCACCATGCCTGGCCTCTTTTAGTTAATGATTCTGTCTTTAAGTCATTTCTCTCTTCTCAGATTTTATGAGGAGCAGTCAAGTAAAACCAGGCCACTCCTTCAACCCTTTGCTTAGAAACTGACTCAATCAAATATCCAGTTTTGCAGCTTAAAAGTTCTACCTTCCATTAAACACCAGAAGACAAGCACAATTCAGCCATATTTTTGCCAGTTTATAACAAGAATTGTGTTTCTTCCATTGTCCAATAACATGTTCTTTATTTCTGTCTGAGACCTCATCCGATTGGCTTTAGCCATCCATATTTCTATCAACATTCTGTTCAGGATTATTTAGATATTCTCTAAGAAGACTGAGGCTCTGTCTTCAGTTATCCTCTTTTCTTTCTGGTCTGTCACCAAAAACACTCTTACAGGTCCATTTATGGCAGTGTAGGCTTTTTCCAGCATGCACCTCAAAACTTTTCCAGTCTCTGCCCATTCCCTGGTTGTAAAGCTGCTTCCACCTTTTAGGTATTTATCATGGCAGCATCCCCACTTCTCAGTGCCAAGTTTCTATAGTAGTTTGTTCAAGTTATTATAATAAAAAAATACAGTAGTGTCTTATAAACAAGGAAAATTTATTTCTCATAGCTCTGGGAACTGGGGAGTCAAGCATCAAGGCACCAGCCAGTTCTGTGTCTGATGATAGTGTCTCTCCTGGTTCATAGATGCATATATTTTCACTGTGTCTTCACATTGTGGAAGTGGGAAGAGAACTCTCTAGGGTCCCTTTTATAAGGGCACTAATCTCATTCATGAGGGCTTTGCTCTCAGGACCTATTCACCTCCTAAAGGTTCTATTTCCTAATACAATTATCTCGGGGTTAGGATTTCAACATGAATTCAGACCATTGCAACCTCAGTAATAAAAATTGCTCGTTAGCCTGGACAACACATTTTTTGACTGTCCCTTACATACTGCACTGCATTTTCTTTGTTTTAATTGAAGCCCAGTACCTTCAGTGAGGGAGATGATGGCTCCAACTTATTAAGAATGGGCCTGCTCAATTACCACTCAATACACGGACAAACTGAAAGCAAATGGCCAATAAGAAATGATTAAAAGGGCAAGTCTCATGTTAGGTACTCCAACTACACATACACACACACACACAAACACACACACACACACACCCCACATACACAAAAACATGAGAAAACTTTGGGAAGTATGTCTATTGCCTTGATTGTGGTAATGGCATCATGGGTGTTTGCCTATGTCCAAACTCATCAAATTGTACACATTAAATATGTTTCATTCTTTATATATCAATTATACATCAATAAAGCTGTTAAACAAAAAGAGAAACAATTAGATGGAAGAAATGAATCTGAAATTGAGAGCATCTGCTGAATTGGTAACAGAAATTATTCTGAATGGTTTGAGAGAGAAAACACACTTTGAGTTGGGGGTGAATTAAGGACATGAGAAATTATACTTTTAACACTTCAGTGGTGCTGTAAGATTTGAGAGTCTCTCTTTTTCACAGAAGAAACATATCAGTGGAGAGAAGTTTTTAAGTAGCTCTTTCTTGTAAGAACTTCAAACTATTTTTAGCAAGTCTGAGAGTTAATAACCATGATGTCTGAAAACCAAAGAGTTGTTTTATGAGTACATAGACCATTATTAGGACTCCTTAGGGAGAAGAAGAAAAAAAAATAATGCACCATATTGGCAAGTCACTGCATATTATATGAAAAATAAAACATATAACTCTCTTTATAAATATATATCATGTCTACTCTAATTTCAGAGCAGCCCTAACAGTTATATTGCCTTCATTTTAAGAAATATTTTTGCATTCATTTAACAATTAAAATAAATTAAAGGAACTAACAAACTCACGTCATGAAACTGTATGCTTTGTCCCAAGATACCAGAGAAAATTAAAGGTTTATGATAGGATGCTGAATTACATACTTATAAAGTCACTATTCACTCTGAGGGTCTACAACTGTCTAGTAGATCAGGGTCAAATTGGATAGTAATTATAACAATTACATTACTCACATCTCCTTCAGCGACTTCCCAGGGAAGTCAAATTACGGAACTGAAAGGAGGTAGAGGAAGAGGTTTTAGGATTTCCCATGGAGGATGCATTACTACAGGACTCCTTACTCAATCACAATCTCCACAACAATGACTGTCCATTCTCTTCCCCATTCCTCATCTGAAATATTGCTTCAGAAGTTACCAAAGTTGACCTCTCCCAGAAATGCAACTGAAACAAATGATCTCAATTCTCATTTTATTTAATTTTTCAGTAGCATCTAACATATGGACAGTCTCCTTTTTGCAACTCTCATTGCTGTTGCCCTTAGGTTAGGTTATTAAGAGAATAAATGTTTTTGAGATAAATGATATTTGATATGATTGTTTAAAATTTTTAGATCAATGGTGTTCCTATCTATTCTCCACTTTATTTCTGACTTTGAAAAGCTTCTTAACATCTCTAAGCCTCAGTTTCCTCTTTGGAAAATTTGAATAATAATAGTGCTTACATTATACAGTTGTTAAACAGCCAGGCACAGTAGATCATGCCTGTAATCTCAGCACTTTGGGAGGCCAAGGCAGGAAGATCACTTGAGGTCAGGAGTTCAAGACCATCCTGGCCAACATGGTGAAATCCCATCTCTACTAAAAATACAAAAATTAATTGGGCATGGTGGTGAATGCCTGTAGTCTCAGCTACTCAGGAGGCTGAAGCACAAGAATCACTTGAACCCAAGAGATAGAGGCTGCAGTGAGCCAAGATTGTACCAGTGCACTCCAGTCTGGGTGACAGAGCAAGACCCTGTCTCAAATGAAACAAACAAACAACAACAACAAAGAATAAGATAGTATATATTAAGTATTTTACATGTACACTGGTATCTTTTAATCCTTTGGCAAACATGGACTAATGTATTTTGTTTTAGCAAAAAAGAATAGATTGAAAGAAGACAGTAAACACCCCGAAATCCTTTGGAGAATGCAATGAGCTGGAGAGTGGTTGGGATCTCCATGAGATCATATGTCAAGTGAGATATTTCACTTATGGGAACTAACACTATGTCTGCTACATTATAGGCCCACAAAAATCTTATGTATTCATGGATGAAGCAAGGCCTGAGTTGGGCTTTAAGGATTGTTGCCTTTGTGTGAGCAGAAATGATGGGGCACTATACCCTTAAACAAAGCCTCTTCTGTCTTTTGTTGAACACAAAGATGTAGCCTCAAAAGACACTTCTACTTTAAGTCTCCAACTAAGTTTTATATAAAGAGGTTCAGTGTTTTTAAATGTTATGTTCATCTTTCATCCATCAATTTGCTTTTTGACAGGTTTGCTGTCAGCTGAGTGTAATGTAAAGGTGTAAAAAGACTTCTTTTATGAGTGAAAAGATTCATAATTCTTAACTGTTATTATCACAGCAAATCACTCTAAATGAAACCTGGAAATATTTATTGGTGTAAAATAGGATGGTTTTTGTGAAGTTGCATTGAATAAATGTCTACTTCAGAATATTTACTGAATCTGATTTATCTACCCCACCTTTCCCAGTCTATGTCACTGCTTAAATTCAAGTATCTATTTCTTACTTGTTTCATGACAATCAAATTCCAAATTTTTCTTGCCATCTTCTAACTTCAACATACGTTATGTTACTTTTCCTTGAACACAATGCTAATCATCTTCCTTTTGTTAATTTGTTCCACAGATCTCACCTTGCCATGATTACCGAATTATAGCCCTACCAGTTGGGCTTATTTTTCGTGAAACTCCCACACAAACTATATTCTCTATCCACAATGTCCAGTGCAGCAGCCACTAGCCATCTATGGCTACAAAGCATTTGAAATGTGCCTCGTTCATATTGAAATGAGCTGTGAGTATAAAATACACACCAGATTTCAGTAACTTAGCACAAAAAAAAAAGAAAATATCTTATTATTTTATTATCAATACCATAATGAAATGATACTACTTTGAATATATTGTATTAGATTAGATATACTCTTAAAATCACTTTTACCTGCTTCTTTTCAATTTTTTGATGGGTCTGCTAGAAATTTAAAACGTGCATATGTAGTTCACATTATATTTATTTTGGACAGAGTTTTCTCCAGATAAAAAGAGCTAATGTATAGAAATCAGACACCTCTCATTTTTGTTCTTGCTCTTGGGCCTTTTCTTATAAACTTTACTGCTTACATTGAACAAACATTTATTGAGTGGCCACTAGTTAGTAAGCACTTTTGTCTATATTGGGAATATAGAAAAGTTCCAGGTAGATAACTTCTGACTTTCTTAGAGCTTATATTTTCATTTGAGATATCAAAAAAATAAAGCAAGGAAATAAACATAATCACGATAATTCAAATCGTAATTTCAAATTGTGATAAATGACATGTGAATAGGTGATGGTAACATATTTGATAATTCCTGGTGAGTGGGACTTTATAGCTTCACCGAAAAAAACCTCTATGAAAAGGACACATTTAAATGAATATGAGAAGAATGAATGTTAGTATTTTCCCTATTTGTTTGAGATAGACAGATGTAGATAAAGAAATATGTGGAATATATGTAAAAATAACTACATGAATATAATTAGTTTTTTATGTAAGTACACATTCTGATTGATTGGTAGTGGCTGTCCAGAGTGCTATCATTGATTAGTGATGTGTACCAGGGTCTATAAAAGATCAATAACACAGACTGTGCCATGTATTTTTCCCTGACAGATTCATAACCACACAATCACATGAAGAAACTATGCAATACTATTTATTTAGTAATAAATGTCACAGGATCTTTGGTGTGTCACTTCATCAGCTGGAAACCTCTGTGTCCACTGGTGCTTTCTGCCTGAGTATTGCTTGCACCTGTTGAGCTCATTTTGCCCACTCAGACTGGCAGGCTGCACTTGGCTCATGCTACCAGCCTGGATCCGACATCCACCAAGGGTGGGCCAGGCACAAAGAGATGAGTGGTGTGTGGCCGAGCAAGTGCAGGGTCCAGCCACTGCATACAGCCAGGCATGCCAGCTGCTGTGGCAGGGCAGGCAGCTCCAGGTGCTGACACAGGTGCCGGCTCCATGTGAGGCTGCAGCTGGACCAGATGTACTGCACGGCAGCTTCCACAGCAGGCACCTATGTCTGGACAAGGGGAACAAGGTGGCACCCTGAAGCTTGGAGATGCCAGGAACTCAGAGCCCCAAGAGAGTAGTCACAGCCCTGGCTTGGGGAGCCCCTAGGTCTGGGGTGTCCAAAAGGCTACAGATCTTCTCTCCTTCTCATTGCCTGAAACATGGCAAGCAGTGGGCATGTTTCAGCCCTGTTTGTGTTACAGTTCTTTCAATCCCCCCATTCAGCACGTCTTGAGTTCTTGTCCTGTGTCCAGAAGAATGAGGTATGTGGACAACTGAAGGTTAAGCAAGGCTGAGAAGAGCATTACTGAACAACAGAACAGTTCTCAGGGGACCAGAAGAGGGAACTCCTTTCTGCAGGCAGGTCCTCTTGACAAGTGTCCAGTTCTCTGTGGAGAAGAGACCCGCAGTGGTTAGCTCCTTTCTGCAGGCAGGCCATCCCACAGTCTGCGTGAGTCTGGCTGAGTCTGAGGGTTTTCACGGGCTCAGAATGGAGGAAGTGCATTCTGATTGTTCCATGGGAGGCCATGGGAAGGCTCAGATAAAGCACCATAAATTCTCACTCCAGGCTGTGGACTCCACCTGGAACTGACAGCTTGGCCTTCAGGCTTCAGGTTGTCCCTGGCTTGAAAGTGGGGTTTCTCTAGTAACCCACCCCTTTCTGCACCAGAGCCTGTCTGCCTCCTACCGCCATCAACACGTTGTCCATGGCACTCAAGCTATTCATGCCAAGAAACACCTGCAGGCCCTGGCAGAGCTGCCTTGAAGCCCCTGCTCAGCCTCTCTCCCATGCTCATCAGCACCCAAAGTCCTGAGGGAGCCAAGGCAACAGGGGCCTGATGTGTCAGCACTGCCCTGAGTGTGCACACACAGACTGCAACAGTGCCTAGGCTCAGCCACAGCTTTGCTCTGCCCTGGAGTGGGCACGAGGAATGGGGAGAGGCCAGGCAGTGGGAGGAAGCACTTTCAAGCCTGCAGACACACAAGCCACAGGCATGCTTGTGTGTCTGGGATTGGTGGATTCTTGGTCTCACCTACTTCAAAAATGAAGCCGCGGACACTCGCGGTGAGTGTTACAGTTCTTAAACGCAGCGTGTCCAGAGTTCTTCCGATGTTCGGATGTGTTCAGCCTTCTGGTGGGTTCGGGGTCTCGCTGGCTCAGAAGTGAAGCTGCAGACCTTCCTGGTGAGTGTTACAGCTCTGAAGGTGGTGCGTCTGGAGTTGTTTGTTCCTCCCGGTGGGTTCATTGTCTCGTTGGCTTCAGGAGTGAAGGTGCAGACCTTCACGGTGAGTATTACAGCACATAAAAGCAGTGTGGACCCAAAGAGGGAGCAGCAGCAAGGTTTATCGCAAAGAGCGAAAGAACAAAGCTACCACAGTGTGGAAGGGGACCCGAGCAAGTTGCCACTGTTGGCTCAGGCAGCCTGCTTTTATTCTCTTATCTGGCCCCACCCACATCCTGCTGATTGGTCCATTTTACAGAGAGCCGAGTGGTCTGTTTTGACAGGGCTCTGATTGGTGCATTTACAATCCCTGAGCTAGACACAAAGGTTCTCTAAGCCCCACCAGAGTAGCTAGATACAGAGCGTCCACTGGTGCATTCACAAACCCTGAGCTAGACAGGGTGCTGATTGGTGTGTTTACAATCCCCTAGCTAGACATAGAAGTTCTCCAAGTCCCTACCAGAGTAGCTAGATACAGAGTGTCCATTGGTGCATTCACAAACCCTGAGCCAGACACAGGGTGCTGATTGGTGTGTTTACAAACCTTGAGCTAGAGACAGAGTGCTGATTGGTGTATTTACAATCTCTTACCTAGGCATAAACGTTCTTCAAGTTCCCACCAGACTCAGGAGCCCAGCTGGCTTCACCCCGTGGATCTCGCATTGGGGCTGCAGGTGGAGCTGCCTGCCAGTCCCGAGCCTTCGGCCGCACTCCTCAGCCCTTGGGTGGTCGATGGGACTGGGCGCCCTGGAGCAGGGGGCGGCGCTCGTCGGGGTGGCTCCGGCTGCACAGGAGCCCACGGAGGCGGGGGTAGCTCAGGCATGGAGGGCTGCAGGTCCCGAGCCCTGCCCCGCGGGAAGGCAGCTAAGGCCCGGGGAGAAATCGAGCGCAGCGCCGGTAGGCCGGCACTGCTGGGGGACCCAGCACACCCTCCGCAGCCGCTGGCCCGGGTGCTAAGCTCCTCATTGCCCGGGCCGGCAGGGCCAGCCCGCCACTCCGAGTGCGGGTCCCGCCAAGCCCACGCCTACCCGGAACTCCAGCTGGTCCGCATGCGCCGCGCGCAGCCTCGGTTGCCGCTCGCGCCTCTCCCTCCACACCTCTCTGCAAGCTGAGGGAGCCGGCTTCGGCCTTGGCCGGCCCAGAAAGGGGCTCCCACAGTGCAGCGGCGGGCTGAAGGGCTCCTCAAGTGCCGCCAAAGTGGGAGCCCAGGCAGAGGAGGCGCCGAGAGCGAGCGAGGGCTGTGAGGGCTGCCCTCATGCTGTCACCTCTCACCTGGGTCTGGAGCTGCAGCTGTGCCCAGAAGTGTGGGCTCCCGCTGGCCTTGTGGAGCGCACAACTCTGGCCACACCCCCCACTTCAGCCAGTTTCTTCTCAGCAGCCACTCCAGAGGGACCACCTCTGGCATCTTAAATACATTACCAGCTCTGCTCCAAGATTTTTTCTCCCTGGGATCAGGTGAGGTGGACCAGAAATTAATTCTGTATAACAAAAAAAGAGACAGTTCATTGTACTAAAAATTAATTCATAGCCTAACAATTAATAAAGCTGCAGATCTTTAATAAGTTTTCCTGATTATTCTCTGTATGCATGAAAATTTTCTAATTGCATTCAATATTTTTTTATTCACCTCAAATTTGGCCAATTCTCTTTTCATCAGTTTTGCATCTGGGTGTCTGGTTGAGCCTTGGAACATCTGTGAGGCAGGTGTACTGCTTATGCCTTCCAAAAGGATGCAAAAAGCAACATGGAATGCAGACCAACAGATGGTGTAAAGTAAAAGAAAATCTAGAAGTAGCATGTGCAGGAGAGAATTTATTCAGGCCTATTATATGCTGAAATAGACATGCCCCTGAGTGACTTTTTCCATTATTCCAACAATTGTCCAATGTCTCTTAGAGGCAAATTCCAGTGACATTGGTTTTTCGTAACCTGGATAATTTTTCTTAAGTATGTGAAACTTTATTTTATTTTTTATTGCTATATAATAATTGTACATATTTATGAGGTAAATGTGATATTTTGATACATGCATATAATCAAATCAAAGTAATTAGAATATTAATAACTTCAAATATTTATTATTTCTTTGTGCTGAGAACATTCCAAATGTTCTCTTCTAGCTATCCTAAAATACGCATTAAATCATTGTTAACTATTGTCAGTCTATTGTACCATCAAACACTAGAACTTATTCCTTCTATCTGGCTGTAGTTTTCTACATAATAACCATCTTGTTTTCATCCCCTATTACCTCTACTCTTCTTGGCCTCTGGTAACCATCAGTCTACTCTTTACCTTCATGAGATCAACTTTTTTGGCTCTCACATGTAGGAGAGAACACGTGATATTATGACACGAAGAATGTTGTGTACCACCCAAAAGAATCTTCCTCACTGAACTGTGGGACAGAACATTCTGGGCCATTAGTTCTACCTTCACCAGATAATCAAAAATGAATAATAGAATTCTGCAATAATCTCAGACTTTTCACACATTTTGAAATTCATTCATGCCTTTTGTAAGAATTTGTTTTAACTTTTTACTAATTTGAATATATATTCTTATGATAAATTAATAATTATTATTAATCACTTTTGACATTCTCCTTTAGCACAAGTTACCACATTCATATTTCATTAAGACAGCTAAACATTTAGCAAAGTTAGTAAAAACAATATACATACTTTATTAATCTAGCAAACCTTTATTTTGCACCTTTGTGTGTCAGACCTTGCTCTAACTCAAAGAGAATTAACATTATGAGAGGCATTCTCTTAAAGGTATAGGATGAGGGGAGCCTACAATATAGAAAAAAAAATTATAACATGAAGCATAAAATGTCCTTGGTAATATCACAGGCAAAATTCTATGGAAATATAGAAGACATATTTATTCATTTTGCCTGGGAACTTCAGAGAAAACTTTACAAAGCAGGTAACATAATTTTTTCTTGATACATTAATGAGAAATCTGGCCAAGTAGGGTGGCTCATGCCTGTAATCTCAGCAGTTTGGGAGGCCATTGTGGGAGGATGGCTTGAGGCCAGGTGTTCATGATCAGCCTGGACAACATGGTGAAACCCCATCTCTACAAAAATAAAATAAAATTAGCTAGGCCTGGTGGTGTACACCTGAAGCCCCAGCTACTCGGGGGGTGAGGTGAGAGGGTTGCTTGATCCCAGGAGGTTAAGGTCACTGCACTCGACTCTGAGTGACAGCATGAGACTGTCAAGAAGAAAGAAGGAAGGAAGGAAGGAAGGAAAGACAAGAAAAGAGAGAGAGGAAGGAAGGAGAGGGAGGGAGGGAAGGAAGGAAGGAAGAAGGGAAGGAAGGAAGGAGAGGGAGGGAGGGAAGGAAGGAAGGAAGAAGGGAAGGAAGGAAGGAGAGGGAGGAGGGAGGGAAAGAAGGAAGGAGGGAAGGAAGGAGGAAGGGAGGGAAGGAAGGAAGGAGGGAAGGAAGGAAAGGAAGGAAGGAGAGGGAGGAGGGAGGGAAGGAAGGAAGGAAGGAAAAGGAAAAGAAATCTATCACTATTCACCATCTACCAAGTAGGATGCATTAGGGCATCTCTAGACAGCATGGATAGATTGGTTAGCTTAAAGATTGTTTAGGCTAGGTGCAGTGGCTCACGCCTGTAATCCCAGCACTTTGGGAGGCTGAGGCAGGTGGATCACCTGAGGTTGGGAGTTCGAGACCATCCTGACCAACATGGTGAAACTTTGTCTCTATTAAAAATTCAAAATTAACCTGGCGTGGTGACACATGCCTGTAATTCCAGTTACTCAGGAGACTGAGGCAGGAGAATCATTTGAACCCAGAGGCAGGGGTTGCAGTGCGCCAAAATTGTGCCACTGCACTCCAGCCTGGGCAACAAGAGCAAAACTCTGTCTCAAAAATAAATAAATAAATAAAATTAAAATAAAAAGATTATTTAAAGCAAAACCAACAACGAAAGAAATAAAACAATAACAAATCCTCTGGGTTCTTTTGGGAGACTGGAAGGCAGGTTGTTTGATGCACACTGATAGAAAACTAACAGAAAGGGTAGGTGGGACTAAGTTGTTAAGGTCATTTGAGTACTAAGTGTTACTACTCCCTAGATACTTTTAGTAGCCTGAGCCTTTTGGAATCTTAGGTAAATATGGCATGATTATTTTATTAGGAAAATTTTAGGGGGTGTTATTCATCATCCAGTATTAACAATATCTTAAGACTCATCCCATGTTCTGCTCAAATATTATTCAGATAAGGCTCATTTAACAAAGATTCAATAATTATGTCAACCCAGCTTTCTTCAAATTCTGGTCCTCTTCTTTTTTTTCTTAAAAATTTACACAACAAAAGAAACAGAAGACCTTTTCATGTGCCTTGTCCAGAAAACTGCTCTTGGTTTTTGATACTCTTAGTTCTTCGTGGCAATCTATTTTATAAATGAGCCAAACAATAGTCTGTAGGTATTACCCCCTAGGTTATTTCTTCACTGCAAATTAATACCTGTTAGTTCACAAGCCTGCCATAACCAAATAGAAAATTTTATGTTCCCTATTGTTTTAAATATAATCCAAACAACTGGATAATGAAACATACATATACACCATGGAATACTACACAGCCATAAAAAAAGAGCAGAATCATGTCCCTTACAGCAACATGGATGCAGCTGGAGGCAATTATGCTAGGCAAATTAATGCAGAAACATTACTCCCTTATAAGTGAAAGGTAAACATTAGATACTCATGGACATAAAGATGGCAACGTTAGACACTGGGGACTACTGGAAGAGAAGGAGAAGAAAAGAATTGAAAAAGTCACTATTGGTCAGGGAGTGGTGGCTCACACTTATAATCCCAGCACTTTGGGAGGCCAAGGTGGGTGGATCACTTGAAGTCTGGAATTCAAGACCAGCCAGGGCACCATGGTGAAACCCTGTCTCTAATAAAAATACAAAAAGTAGCCAGGTGTGGTGGCACACACCTGTAATCCCAGCTACTCAGGAGGCTGAGACAGGAGAATCACTTCAACCTCCGCCTCCCGGATTCAAGCCTCTGCTTGAACCCTGGAGGCAGAGGCTGCAGTAAGCCAAGATTGGCCAGTGCACTCCAGCCTGGGTGAAAGAGTGAGACTCATCTCAAAAAAAAAGAAAAAGAAAAAAAAACCTCACTGTTGGGCACTATGCTCAGTAGCTGTGTGATGGGATCAATTGTACCCCAAATCTCAGCTCACACAATATACCCTTGTAACAACCTTGCACATATACCCCCTGAATCTCAAAGTTGAAACTATTACAAATAAATAACCCAAATAAGTAGACTTTTAGTCATTTAGAGACTATCTGCTTTGTGTACTCAACAAAATCTTCTGCTGCATCTGTTGGCCATTAATAAGAGAGAGGTTTGTGGTTTTAATAATATAACCCAGCAGTCGGCCAACCTTTTTGGCACCAGGGACCAGTTTCATGGATGACAAATTTTCCAAGAATGGGGGAAGGGGGATGGTTTTGGGATGATTCAATGACATTACATTTATTGCACACATTATTTATATTATTATTCCCTTGTAACATATCATGAAATAATTATATAACTCACCATAATGTAGAGTCAATGGGGGCCCTGAGCTTGTTTTCCAGCAACTAGATTGATGATGGGAGATCATGGGTGATGGGAGACAGTGAAAGATCATCAGGCATTAGATTCTCACAAGGAGCATGCGACCTAGTTCCCTCTACCACTGATCTGACAGGAGGTGGAGCTCAGGCAGTGACACAAGCCATGGGGAGCGGCTGATAATACAGATGAAGCTTCACTCATCTGCCACTTACCCTGTGCTCTGTGGACTGGTTCCTAACAGTCCCTGGACTGCCATTGGTATGCGGCCTGGGGACTGGGGACCCCTGCTTTAAGCCACTATTACCCTTCAGAGTTCTCTGACAAAGACAAACTCCCTATTATGCTGCTTTCATCCCCCTATCTCTCTGGAGTTTCCTTACCAATCTCTCCTTCTGGCCCTGTCACTATAAGCCTCTGGATGGCCCCCTGCCATAAAGGGACACCCCTCTCATGTGACCATGTTTGAGCATTGCCCAGTGAAGTTTTTTGTACACAACTGCCTCTTGTGGTCCTATATTTTTTTCTTGTTCAGCCTCCAAATCCCTCAAATGCCCTACGTAGTCTAAGCTTCTAATCCAGTATCAATACCAAAAGTTTATAATTGAGCTTGGAAGAGCCTAAGTTCTTTCAATGTTACTTGTCAGTGGGATGCTATTTCTCTCAAAGAACCATAGAAATTAATAGTGGTATGAGGAGGCAACTGAAAACGTAACCACAGGGAAAGAGTTCTGCAAAATTCACCTAGCTAAGACTGACTGGTGCTGAGTTTTCACATCCTCTGCCCCCTTTACATTGTTTCTGTCTTAACATTGCCTATCTTACAATTAATGTTGCTCATCAGCACAATAATATATATGTGTGTGTGTGTGTGTGTGTGTGTGTTTGTGTGTGCACGTACAATTATATAAATACAAATATATATAGTCACTAAACAGTCAGTAAGAAGGATGGAATGCAGACAGAGTTAGAAATCAAGACTGAGTATATTTGTGGCCATAAAGAAATTTTATGGAAGAAGAATATAGCCAGAATCAATGAAGTGTTCCAGTATCAAGCCAGGATGCAACAGACAAGACCTTTCTAACTTCAAAATCTTCTTTTCTGGCAAAAGACCTTCTCTGTCAACCCTAAGGGAAGGTCATTATTCAGGAGAGTAATTTAATTCAAAATTTTGAGCCCAAGATTGACCCTGGGCTGACAATCTAAAGTATATTTTATTTTAAGAAAACACCATAAACTGCTACTACTACTACTATTTTACTATACTTGGCTGCCTGAAGATTCGGCAGGAAAACATCAGGAGCTGACAAATGAAGTGAACTAAAAGCTACCTTTCTATGTAATCACTTCTACCTATACAGTCTTTATTTCTTTCATGAAATGTCTTACTGGTAACTAATGACAACCAATATGTCTGTCTTCATTGCCAGACTGAGCTGAAGTATCATAATACAGTGAACTGAATTAATCCAGTATCTCTAAATACCCAGATGACTTATGCTTAGGGAAAATAAAGATATTTTGCCTTGGCACAAATGATTTTTAAAAATTTTGATAAGCCAAAAGTTTAACCATCACTTTTTCTTTTTTATTGCACTTGCCAATTTCTCATCAATCTAATTAATCACTTTTGCCTATACAGTATTTATTTCTTTCAAAAAAATATCTTGCAGGTGACAAACAGAAACTTAGGAATTTCTCCAAGCTTTCATCTACAAAAACAGTATTCAAACCCCATGGCATCCACATCCAAACACTGCCCTTGAAAGAAGTACTAGGTTCCAATTTCCCACCATTGTCTTCATTATAGGATTTCAAATGGGCCACGTATTTGCTCCTGGTTGTATAAGCCCAGCAGCAACACTCCAACTGGGGATGAGAGAAGACAGAGGCAATAAGGACAGTCTCTGCAAGTTATCCTGTTTATGCTCAATTTTTACTTTTCTTGCCCCATTGATTCCCAGCTCATCCTCAAAATAGAGCCAACCATTTCTCCAGGTGGCATTCGGGAGTGCTGTTTCCCTTGTGGCTAGTGCTTTGGTTATTTTATTTTCCATTCTATGATAAAAACCACTCTCTTAAGTCCTGGAGAAAAGTAGACCTAAGACATAAAAAATTACATATATAAATAAAATGGCAGGAAATAGCAAGACAGTGAAAGAAGGAAAAAAGGAAGGAAGGAAGAAAGGAAGAGAGAGGGAGGGAGAGAGGAAGAGAGACTGAGCTTAGAGGTGGCTGTATAATCTAAAAATGTTCTGAGTGTTCACACCGTTTCATGGCTTTAGAATTTATCTGTTGTTCTACTTTTTCTTGATAAAACATCAATTCTGATGCTTATGTTGCCATAGGGGAGAAAATAGAATATGTACCCTTTATCTCATAATTGACATGATTGATTTAATAATACTCCTTGATCTATTTTAGTCAGTTAGTTACAATATCTCCCTTTGCTGGGAGTTAAGAAATTCTGTTTGGAACAATGGACTGGACAGGATGGGTGCTCAGAGGTAGGTGGGGGGAAACTTTATGTTTTGATAATAATGTTCCTTCCTGAAACACACATATAGATACACATTCATGTATGTTCACAAACATATAACAAACTACTTTGTCTAAGAAAATCCTCACTAGTAAGTCTAATATTTTTCAACTCATCTGTAATACTTAGGGAAGAGTAAGAAACCAAAGGATAAAATTATTTCTTGAGCTTTTAAAAAGGGCAGCCATTTGGGAGGTGGCAAAGAGAAGTCTCTCAGCATATCACACACCACATTTTAAACCTGAGTGAGGAGGCTTCACAGTGAACAACTGTCTAGTTAATAACATGGTGGAAGGCATTGGAGCTTGAAATTATGGATCACTTTTGATTAAATGTAGCTCACAAAAAGTAATCCCTGGCTTTCGGTGGTATAGTCCCCACTATCATGCAAAAATGTAAATGCCAGCACTTATTAAATCTAGCCTGAGCAATAGCTGAGGATCACCCTGGGGATGATCCACTTTGAAAAATAAAAATAAAGAAGACCTACAATTCTCCTCAAAAATAATTAAATCTTCACCAATTGGCCAGGTGGTTGATGGAATATTTTTTGGTGTTTTTCGGTGTTTGTGAGGAGCAGTAAGGTTTATAGGAATGATCATTAAATTTGGAGTTCAAATATCATCTAGATTGCAGCATGTATTAGCTGTGATTTGGCACAGGTGAATTGATATCTCTGAGCTTCTACTTTCTCATTCTAAAATACAGTCATTAAAATACAGACCCCCCAAGGATTGCTGTATTAAATATGATAATTTATGTTAAAAAGTCAAGTCTCCTGCCTAGAATGCATTAGAATCTACGTGTAATTTGTTCTCTGTAGTAATCTGAGCTTCCATCCCAGCACCTGATGTGCAATGAGTGCTCAAAAAGTGGAAGCTGCTATTATTACTGTTGTCATTATTTACTATTATATTGGTTTTGTTAATTTTTCTACCACTATTATTCTACTACTTTGTTCAGGATCAGGCAATGAGTTGAGGATTTTTTAAAAATAAATGTTATTACAATGTCCCAAGAAGAAATTGCTTTTGATCTTGATTCATTTTGCTTTTTCCATATTTTTATTGATTTTTATATTGAAATTCTCCTTTTGATATATTTTAAGCATAATCTTTGTTTATGGGACCCAAGACCCCAGCATCTGGTAATAAGTTGCTTATGAAAAGGTAACATAATTTTTTATTAGAAAATCAAAATCAATAAATCACATATTTTGCCCTTAGCAGAGGTTAAGTGAACACATTATCCACAACATCAAGTTTTTACCTCATTATGAAGCTTGTATTTTCAGCAGTAAAATGGACTTTTTTCAGTCTTCAACTGTTAGTAGATGCTGGAAAATTTTATTGATTTAAATCTAGGGCTGTCAGGATGCCAGAACAGAGTACTGGGGCTCATGAAGGGTGTAGCATTTTCTGCAAAGGACTGGGGGCTGTCAGATACAAGCAGAAAGTATTATCTGGGGATTACAAAGCCACGTTTGTGAAGGCGAGCTTCAAATCGCAGTGTGGAGCACTGCACTGAGAACATCTTTCTTGGGGAGCTGTTTTATATTTGCCCACTGTAATACTCTAATTAATTTAATAATTCATTCATTCATAAAGTGTTCATTGAATGCTAAGTCCCAGTCATATTAAGTGTTTTAGATAGAGGTTTTCTGTCCTATCCTTCATGGAATTTATAGACTTCAAGTTGTTGTACAAATATATCCATGCCTTCTTTGAGAAGTGTCTATTCAAGGTTATAGCCCATTTTTAATTGTTATTAAATTTTTTTTTACTATTGAGTTGTAAGAGTCCCTTATATATTTCAGAGATTAACCCCTTAGCAGATGAGTGATTTGCAACTATGTTCTCCCATTCTGTAGGTTGCCTTTTCACTCTATTACTGTTTGTTTCTTTTACTGTGCAGAACTTTTCAGTTTGATATCATTCTACTTGTTTATTTTTGTTTTTCTCATATGTGTTTTTGGTGTCTTGTTCACAAGGTCATTGCTAAAACCAACATCATGAAATTTTCCCTTATGTTTTATTCTAGAGGTCTTACAGTTTCAGGTCTTATATTTCAGTCTTTAATTCATTTTGAGTTGATTTTTGTTTGTGGTGCAAGATAAGGTTCTAATTCCATTCCTTTGCATGCAGATATCCAGTTTTCCCAATACCGTTATTTTGAAAAGACTATTATTTCCTCATTGGGTGTTCTTGGGCCCTTTATCAGAGAACAGTTGACTGTAAATGCATGAATTTATTTATGGGCCCTCCACTCTGTTCCATTCATCTATTTGTCTGTCTTTGTGCTACTACAATTATGTTTTTATTACTGCAGCTTTGTAATATATTTTGAAATCAGGAAATTTGATGCTTCTAGCTTTGTTCTTCTTTTTCAAAAATGATTTGGCTATTTTGTGGTCTTTCATGATTTCACAGGATTTTTAGAATTTTATTTTCTATTTCCGTGAAAAATAACATTGTGGTTTTGAGAGAGACTGCATTGAATTTGTAGATCATCTTCCATAGCATGAACATGTTAACACTATTATATCTTCCAATCCATCAACACAGGAGGACTTCCCATTTGTGTGTGCTTTGTCTAATTTTTTCATCAATATTTTGTAGTTTTCCATGTACAGGTCTTTCTTTTACCTATGATATGGTTTGGCTCTGTGTCCCCATTCAAATCTTGTCTCAAATTATAATCCCCATAATCCCCATGTGTCCAGGGAGGGACCTGGTGGGAGATGATTGGATCTTGGGGGCAGATTCCCCCATGCTGTTCTCACGATAGTGAGTTATCACAAGATCTGATGGTTATACAAGTGCTTGACAGTTCTCCTTCTCACACACAATCTCTCTCTCTCACCTGCTTCTGTGTAAGATGTGCCTGCTTCCCCTTCCACCATGATTGTAAGTTTCCTGAGGCCTCCCCAGGCATGTGGAACTGTGAATCAATTAAACTTCTTTTCTTTATAAATTACCCAGTCTCAGGTAGTTCTTTATAGCAGTACGAGAACAGACTAAGACATACCGCCTTAGTGAAGTTTAGTGTTAGTGTTAGGCATTTTATTTCTTTTGGTGCCATTATAATTGCGATTGTTTTTCTAATTTCCTTTTTAGACAGTTCATTGTTACTGTACAGAAAAAAACACTGATTTTTGTTTGTTGATTTTGTATCCTGTAACTTTACCAAAATTGTTTATGATTTCTAACTTTTTTTAAAATGGAGTATTAAGGATTTTCTGTTTATATAAGATTGTGTTGTCTGCGAAGATGGACAATTTTACTTCTTCTTTCCGATTTGTATCACTTTTGTTTCTTTTCCTTCCTAATTGCTCTACTGAAGACTGCCAATACCACATTGAACAGAAGTGATGAGAGTGGGCTTCTTTCCCTTGTTCCTGACCTTAGGCAAAAAAAAAAAAAAGTTTCAGTTTTTCGCACTTGATTATGATGTTAGCTGTAAGTTTTCATTTTTGATCTTTACTATTTTGAGGTCATGTCTTTCTATTTCTAGTTTGTTGAGAGTTTTTATAATGAAAGATTGTTTGATTTTGACAAACTCTTTTTCTGCATCTTTTGAAATGATGTAATTTTTTATCCTCTATTCTGTTAATGTGGTGTATTACATTAATTGATTTCCATACTTTCACCATCCTTGCATCTCAGAAGTAAATCCCACTTGGTCATGTTGTATGATTCTTGGATTCAGCTTGCTAGTATTTTGTTGAATATTTTTGCATATATTCATCAGGGATAATGACTTGTACCTTTCTTTTCTCTTGTCTTTATCTGGCTTTGGTATCAGTTTAATGAGTTTGCATGTGTCCTTCCTCTTCAAATATTTTAGAAGAGTTTGAGAAGTACTGGCATTAATTTTTTCTTTTTTTTTTTTTTTTAATGCTCGGTAGAATTCTTCAGTGAAGCTATCTGGTCCTTAGGTTTTCTTTGTTGGGAGGTTTTTGGTTACCGAATCAATCTCCATACTATTTATAGATTTGCTCAAACTCTATTTTGTCTTGATTTAGTCCTGGTAATGTGTATATTTTTAGGAACTTATCCATTACTTCTATGTTATCCAGTTTGTTGGTGTGTAATTGTTCATAATATGAGTCCTTTTCATTTCTGTGTCTTCAGTTGTAATGTCAGCGAGATAGAATCAGAAGCCCTGGAACTCCCCTCCCCACCACCAGCACATCAATTCATCAACAATTCACAGACAAATTCCCTTTGTGAGAAATCAGAAACTAGGTGAAAGTTTCTTGCACCCTGGGAGAATAAAACCAAACTCATCAAAGGAGGCAGCGAGATTTTCACACCCTCTTGCCAGATATCCTGACCCCAATAAGCATCATATGATCAGGAGGAGACCCCCCAGGTCCCAGCTTCACCTAGGGAAGGGAAGGCATTGGTTTCTGCATCTGTCATCCCACATTTTCCAAAAGAACTCCCCCAAAACTGGCCTCTGTCTTGCCAGTTGGTGCTCTGATGGGTTTGGTTGAGTCTAGTATCCTTGAGGAGAATGAATGCAGTGGCTTGGGCTGGCAAATACCATTGGTCCTCCTGCTTAGCACAGAGCAAGTGAACGAAGAAAACACAGCTGCTTGCTTCTCTCTGGGGAATAAAAGAGTTGACAGAGGCTCCCAGAATTTCTGCTCAGGCAGAAATTTTTTTCTCTTTTTTTCAAAATTTTAATGCTCAGCCCACAGTAAAAGTTAAATAAAAATTGAATGGATATGACAAGATAGATTAGTTGTAGTTACAAATCTACATCTAGATACCTGTGTTATTTCATTTGTCAGAATGCTTTGGCCTTTGGATATGATAGAGGAGAAAGAGTTTAACCTTTTTAAAGTTTGAACCAGGCTTGCAGAATTTGGTGGAAAGAATTGAGAGAATAATTAGGGTTGGAAAATGAGATCAAATGGCAAAATTAGAGAGTGCAAAGTATTAAAAAATATCCAGAGGCTGGTAACATGAATGAGGACACTCTGGGCAGTTGCTAATGTGCCTTCTGTGGCAAGTGTCTGCTCCTTTCTCATACCGCCCTTCCTTTCTTTAAAATAAATATCTGCCCTGATGGTCATCTCCTTCTTCCTATCGTACCTTAAGCCCTCAGGCTCTGTCAGTGACAACTACCTGGAGTGCATACCTGCCAGCTCCCACATCATGATCCCCACCTGCTTCAGTCCTCAAAAAATATGTCAGGAGCTCTTGTCATTTGTTATTTGCTCTCACCAGTCAAATATGTCAAGGAACTGTGTGTGTGAAGTATTGTTTTGGTGTCTTCCTTGTGGGAAGCCCAGGACAAGTGAGGACTTGGTCCTCACTTCCGTATTTGTCAGGAAATATTAAAAGGACCCCAGGCATTTTAACTTATATCCTCCGTTTAAACTCTTTTCATCAGTTCTAGAGTAATCTGGATCTCAGGTAATTATGGCCTGGTCCTTGGGGATATAAGAAGTAAGACACTGTCTTCATAAGTTCTCCTTCTGTTATTCTACAACTCTCTTTCCATGAACACTTCTATGGTTCAAGAGAATGCACGCAAATAAAAATATCTATTACGGAATTCTACAGGATAAATTATTTACTTGATTTTGCCAACTCTGGGTACCACAATCTTGACTCTGATGTGATATAAGATTTGAAGATGGCCAGGCACGGTGGCTCACTTCGGTAATCCCAGCACTTTGGGAGGCCAAGGCGGGCAGATCATGAGGTCAGGAGATCGAGACCATCCTGGCTAACATGGTGAAATCCCGTCTCTACTAAAAAATACAAAAAAAATTAGCTGGGTGTGGTGGCAGGCGCCTGTAGTCCCAGCTACTCGGGAGGCTGAGACAGGAGGATGGCGTGAATCCGGGAGGCAGAGTTTGCAGTAAGCCGAGATCACGCCACTGCCCTCCAGCCTGGGCGACAGAGCGAGACTCAGTCTCAAAAAAAAAAAAAAAAAAAAAAAAAAAAAAAAAAAAAAAAAAAAAAGATTTGAAGACAATTTCCAAAGAACTCATGCTAAGTATTTATGCTACTCAGACACATTCGCACTTCTCCAGTTCTCCTGTTTCCAGCCCCAGGAGAAGACTATGCGTCTTCAATTCAGACATGATCATGGGCATCCTCTTATCCACAGGACATGAGTGGACAGTCTATGGGCCTCCTTCAGGTGAAAGTATTTAAGAGAGGGCTCCCACTCAAAGGCAGATCAAACATAATGAGGAGCTGAGCCCCCCACCTACATATCATGATATGAACAAGAAATAGCTGTTTCTGGTTCGAATCACTGATGTTTTATTGTCTGTTACCATTGCATGACTTAGTTTAAACTGATAAATATGGAGGCATTTCAAAGAGGTCCTGAGGCATTCGGAGCCCTTACAATAAGTTTTTCAATAATACATACTTTACTCACTATCATATGACTAAAGCAGTACTGAAATGCTTGTTAAAGAATAAAAAGTTTTATGATGGCTCTGGAATCACTTTATCTCTCTGAATGTTCAGTTTCACATTTGTGAAAAGTGAGGATTTAACTTAATACTGTCTAGAGTTTCTCCCTAATCTATGACTCGATTGCTTCTCTGCATGCTTTGAATTCACTGCACGTTTCCCCACCCCACACCTGGAAAATTACATGCACTGAGTATGTGAACAAGAGGAACACCTTTAAAAAGGGTAAAGTCCTTAATTTTATGATATAATTTTTCAGGAGTATGTTGCCAAAATTATTGTGTTAGTATGGGTAAGCATGAATTAGACTCTTCTATATAAAACAAACTTCTTGGAGCTTTTTTTTTTTTTCTTTTTGAGATAGGGTCTCACTCTGTTGCCCAGGCTGGAATGCAATGGCATGGACACAGCTCACTGCAACATCCACCTCCCAGGCCCAAGGTATCCTCCCACCTCAGCCTTCTGAGTAGCTGGGACCACAGGCACATGCCACCATGTCCAGCTAATTTTGGTATTTTTTGTAGAGACGGATCTGGCTACATTGCCCAGGCTGGTCTTGAACCCCTGAACTCAAGGGATCTGCCCACTTGGGTCTCCCACAGTGCTGGGATTACAGTCATGAGCCACCGCACCTGGCTGGAACTATTAACATGAGCGTCTGTTTTTGTCCTGTGAAAGATTAAGCAGTCATTGGGAGAACCCATTTCTTGCCATAAGAAGTCAGTGTTTATTTATGCTGGCGTTGGTGTGAAACCTGTTGAGTTCTATCTCTTTTCAGTATTTCACTCTCCCACCCACATACATGTAACCAATCACCAGCTATGATAATTTGACTATTTGAGAATCACTAGTATCCATGAACCTTTTCCCATCCCCACTGGCAATATCTTAATCCAAGAAAGCTTGCTTGCTGCCACCTGCTCCTAAGTGGTCTTTTTGATGGCATCTTTGCTTCAAATATATTTTCCTCCAAGTCTCAGCCTTTCCCTGTGCTATATATATATTTATATTTATATTTATATTTATATTTATATTTATATCAGGACTCACCACTCTTCCCTGCTCTCATTCACTTTGAAATTTTTATTTTTTCTTAAGGAAATTTTCTCGCCTGTCCCTCTTCAATTAAGGACAAATTGCCTTTACATAAACAGCAAAACAATTTTATTTTCATTTTCATGAGACTAAAGTAGATAACTATAATTTCTTGCTGAGATTATTGCAATTGGTGGTCTTACAATTACTTATCCTGCTCCAGTGTGCTCTTCATAATGCTAATTGTATGTTCACACAAGATAAAGTCCAAGTACAGCTTGGCAAAAAATGATCTTATTCTTAGTTATTTCTCTTATTGCACCTCCTACTGAGCTGCAATCTCACTTTAGGGGTTATGTCCATTGACCTAAGGGAATTTGCCTAAATAGAACATTTTTCTCTTGCTTCCAACAATTGAAGCTTTGCTCCTCAGTCTTTAATATTCCTGATCTAAATTCTCCCCTAGCAAACTTCTAATGGTTTCTGAGAGCCCATTCGGAAGGGCCTTTTCAATTCTAAGAAACATTTTTTTTAACTCTAGAATGGGTTAATTTCCTGCTATTCTCCCCAATTTTCCTGGCATTTACTACCATTATTACACTAAATTTGTATTTTCATTTTACCTATCTGGATCTTCCAGTAGAGTTGATGTTCCTTGAGGGCAAAGCTTAACTTGTATTCATTTTATAGGTCTAAGGCAAATCTTTTACCCTCTCTTGAACTTACTCTTCTTAACTGAAAAGAAGCCTCCCGCTCTTTCCTCCTGACAGCTTTGAGGCTTATGAAAACTGATCTAAGGTAATGGACATAAAATTGGTGTATTAACAACCAAATACCATACAGGTGGAAGTGGACATATTCCAGTTCCTAGCACATGGTAGGCTTTTAATAAATGTCAGTTGGTGACAGTGCAAATTGAAATCTAAGCAACATGTGTTACCTCAGAAGGTTAGTCTCTACTCAGTTATTCAGATTCTATCAAGACCTAGACAAAGTAATGCCATCCAACAGCCATGTATTTTTCTGTTCCACAAAACCAACAGGAATAAGCATTATCCTGGTGACATATTGAGGCAGTAATTAAAAATTCAGAAGTTTCTTTTTGGCTTGTTTGTAAATAGTTCAGTGAAGACTTTGGATCCAAGGGTTTTTCTATTTTTTGCACTACACAGCTCATTGTTACATGCTTGCATGCGTACATGTATTTACCATTTACTGTGTAATAGGCAGGAACCTGGGGAAATATTTGAAGATCTGGAACTGCCCTTCCTATCAAGAGTTCTACTGATCAGTGGAAGAGATAGATGAAAACATGAAACAAAACAATGAAACATAAACCAAAATGAATGAAAACACACACAGGTAATAAGGGCTCCAAGGTGAGTGCTCCCTGGGTGGAATGCTGTTAACAAAAGAGAGAACGGTCCAAAAAGCACTGTAGCAGAGGGTCAAAGCAAGAACTTTCAGAGATAAAACAAAGTTACTTAGGTTTAAAAACAAAATGATTAGGAAGGTATAGGATTATTTTTTTGGGTGGCGGGGGCAGAGACTCCAGACAGAAATTATCTAGCATGTAAAAGTAAAGATGGCAAGAGAGATTCCATGAGGCATTTAACATTAAGGGAAGTATGTGTGTTTTAAGAAACCCAGGTTTTAGCATTGATGGGGACCTGTTGTTTTGTAGTCAGAACAAGAAGAATTTCCAAAACCCCTCTAAGTTGGTCACCTATATTTGAAACTGCCCAACGAGTTCACCCTGCCCTCTACCTAGACAGCCAATTTATCAAGACTGGGGAATTCCAATAGAGAAGGAGTAATTCACACAGAGCCAGCTACTGGGGAAGCTGGAGTTTTATTATTACTCAAATATCAGTCTCCCTGAGCATTGCGGGATGAGTTTTTAAGGACAATTTCAGGGGGAGTGGGGAGACTGAGTCAAGAAGTGCCGATTGGTTGGGTTGGAGATGAAATTATAGGGAGTCAAAGCTGTCCTCTTGTGCTGAGTCAGTTCCTGGGTGGGGGTCACAAGATCAGATGAGCCAGTTTATCAATGTGGGTGGTGCAAGCTGATCCATCAAGTGGAGGGTCTGCAAAACATCTCAAGCACTGATCTTAGGTTTTGCAATAGTGATGCCATCCCCAGGAACAATCTGGGGAGGGTCAGAATCTTGTGGCCTTTAGCTGTATGACTCCAAAACCATAATTTCTAATCTCTTGCCCAATTTGTTAGTCCTACAAAGGCAATCTAGTTCCCTGGCAAGAAGGGAGTTTCCTTTGGAAAAAGGCTATTATCTTTGTTTCAAATTTTGAACTAATTTCCTCCCAAAGTTAGTTTGGCCTATGCCCAGGAATGAGCAAGTACAGCTTGGTGATTAGAAGGAAGATGAAGTCGGCCAGGTCAGATCTCTGTCACTGTCTCAGTTACAATTCTGCAATGGTGGTTTTCATATTCTGTGGCCAAAAAGGAGGCCCATTTCAGCAGAATTATATGAGCAAGTAACACGTTAGACAATGACTTAGTGAGAGTAGGGAGAAGTGATGGTAGGTCTAGAAACAGATAAAGAGGCTAGTATTCCTGGGGCTTAAAGAACATAAACAAGAATCAAGGTTGTAGAAGGATTTTAAGTGATTAGTACAGCAGTTTTGTTTTTTTAATACAAAATGTTTTTTTTCCTATGTATTTATTTTGCAAAGGAATCATTTTCTAAGCAAAATCTTAGGTCAGGGATTTGCCAGTGTTTTATCTGTCATGCCACCTCTGATCATTTGGGACTAGTTTCTTGTATCACTGTGTTAAGAAGGATTCAAAGGCTGTATCTAGCCTCTAGGGGAAAGAAAATTTGATTGCATGATGATGTATGTTATGGACAAGATAAATAGCGCCAAGATGAACCACAAATTTGGTATCTCTGTTTTCCATGAACATTCAACACAATGGAACAGAGATGTTCATGTTTTAGTCATGAGATGAGAATTCCAGAGTTCTAATATGTCATCCCTTTGCTCTTTGCACCATCTTCATCCTGCCTAATGTATTGTCCAATTATCTCATAGAGCATTTATTTATTTATTTATTTTGGAGTTCAATGGCACAGTCATAGCTTACCTCAGCCTCGTCTTTCTAGGCTCAAGCAATCCTCCTCTCTCAGCCTCTTGAGTAGCTAGGAAAACAGGCATGCACCTCCATGCCTGGCTAATTTTTATTTTATTATTGTAGAGATGGGGTCTCCCTTAGTTTTCCAGGCTGATCTTGAACTCCTAGCCTCAAGCAATCCTCCTGCCTTGACCTCCCAAAGTGCTAGGATTCAACAGCACTGCTGGTATAGTAGTATTATGCAAGACTCCCAAAGTGCTGGGATTATAGGCATGAGCCACCATGCCCAGCCATCTCCTAGAACATTTAGACCTTTGAATAATAAAGCTTGCAAACCACTGTTCTAATTAAAACACCCTTGTTTCATAGATGGAGAAACTTTTCTCTAATCATGGAGCTGCAACAGCTATTTTCATGAAGAATGTTCCCAAAACTGGGGTTAATGCTTTGTTTTTAACAGATTACTTTGCAATAACAAAGAATACAAGGTGAAAAATTCTCATCTCAATAGATTTAAGAACACAGCTTCTGACTAATGAAATACCTTATAATTTCTAATTGGTTTAGATGTCCCTAGTCCTTCTTAGGTGAATAGTATCATTTAAATATTTTCAGTAATTTTCCTTTAACAGGCTTTTAAACTTAATGTTTCTGCCTTGCTTCAGGACAACATCTTTTAATTGCTCTAAATTATCAGTGATGTCTGTAGCATTTTCACTGAACCTGGATTGATTTCAATTAACTTTCTCATGCTTTTGCATAAAAGCAGTCTTTTTCCATTTTCGTAATTGGATCATACAACCTCTTAGAGCTGAGGAACGACAGTCATTTAAAGGTTGAGAAAGGAGACAAAATCAAGGTTGTTTACTGCCTAATGTCTCCTTTTGGAGTTTTCAGTTGTGCTTGATCAAGAAAGACCATTGGCTAAGAATGTGGGTTACAATTGAAATAGACTATCCCACTAATGGAGCCCTTTGAATTTCCCAGGAATACATTTTAGCTCCAAGGGAATGATCAAAAAGAATTTCTTTAAACCCTGTTTAAACAACCCTCCCCCAAAGAAAACACTGTCCTCTTACCATTTTTATCTTCCTGTGGATTTGATAGAAGTGATAGGCCCCCAATGTCTTCTGCATCTGTATACAGTGCAGGGCAGAAATAGAGATCTGCTGGTGCTTTTATTCAGGATTAAATGAGATTCAGGATGATGAGATTTGGGATTATTAAATACTAGCAAGCAACTTTTCTAGGCAGAACAGAAACATAAGGGTCTCAGAATATTGGAGCTTACAGAAATTGAAGCTACAAAATATAAGGTGAGACAAAGTAGATGGTACAGAACCTAGAGTGAATTGAAAAGAAATGGGAAAAAAGAGAGAGGATGAGACAAGGATGAAGAAAGTTAACTTTTAGTGCCATATTTAATAAATCCAAGAGAACCAACTGAAAAAAGGAGCACTGATAATTCAATAGAATTAGATGACTAACTGCAAAATCACCATAAAAAATCCAAGTTTCTTAAAAAGAATAATAGAGTGAGAATAAAGACATTCTATTTAATCTTCCATGAAAATGTAATATACCTATGAGTAATCTTTTAAAATGTGTGAGATCTATATGATGAGAAAAAAAACACGTGTCTATAAAAAGTTAGTCATTATTTTGGGGTAAAACTTAATATGTTAAAGAAGTCAGTTATCCTTAAGTTAATCTAAAAATTATACACAATTGTAGAGTAAGTTGTAAGTAGAACTTGATACTTAGAAATAGACTCTAGTTGATTCTAAATTATAAGCAAGCAGGAATAGTGAGAATTATTGGAAAAATATGAGGGAAAAACTCATATCCTTAGATAACAACATGAATAATATATATTATATATAAATATGCATATATAATGTATGCATATATGTGAATAATACATATATGTATTTCAGTTCTATCAAATATAATCAAATTGATCATGGATTTATTTTAAATACAAATCTGAATAGTAGTAATATAATTGTAAATAATGCTCCAAAATTATAAACAGAGAAGACATTTCTAAATAAGAAACAAATGAAACAAATTCCTAAACAAACAAATCACTAAACAAAGACTGATATGGCTAAATCAGAATTTAAGATTTGTTTTTGAAAGACAACCTTGCAGAAAAATAAAGATTCAATAGGAAGATAAGGAGACCATGTCCACTTATGTTGTTGTAAACAGATGAAAAGATATTTAGACTAAGTCAAAATTTAAAAATGTAATATTTCAACCAAAGAGGAAGATATCTTTTGTATAAAAGTAATACTATTCAGTGAAAGTGTGATAAGCATCGACATTCATTTTGACAGACTATAATCTATAGAAATAATTGTAATAACCTCATCTAGATTACAAATATCTGTTTGTTTGTTTGTTTTGAGACAGAGCCTCTCTCTTATCCCCCAGACTGGAGCATTTTCCAGTCACAATCTCGGCTCACTGCAATCTCCATCTCTCAGGCTCAATTGATTCTCCAGCCTCAGCCTCCCAAGTAGCTAGGAATACAGGCCTGCCCCACCACACCAGGCTAATTTTTGTATTTTTAGTAGAGATGGGCTTTCACTATGTGGACCAGGCTGATCTCGAACTCCTGACCACAAGTGATCCACCTGCCTTGGCCTCCCAAAGTGCTGAGATTACAGGCATGAGCCACCGTGCCTGGCCAGTTTCTGTTTTGCTGTAAAGACAAGAGACTGTGTATCAATATGGTGATACACATAGAAAAAAGGCTTTCATAACAAAAAAAATCACCAACGGAGTGGCAACAGAAATTAATTTTTTTTCACGTTTGTAGAGCCCGGAAGGCCAAGACCAAGGTGTTCGTGGGTCTGGTTTCTTCTAAGCCTATCTTTGGCTTGCAGATAGTGCCTTTTCTCTATGTCTTCCCATGGTCCTTCCCCTGTGCACAGGCATCCTAATGGCTCTTTTTGTCCAAATTTCCTCCTTCTACAAGGAGCCTAGATAGACTGGGTTACAGCCCACACAAATGGCCTCATTTTAGCTTAATCAACACTTTAAGGATCCTATCTCCCAAATATAGTGACATTCTGAGGCACTGAATTTTCTGGGGTTTACAGATTTAAAATATAAATTTTGAGAATACATGATTCAGTCTGAAACAGACTGTAAACAACCTGAGTAGCCATCAATAGAATATTCATTAAATAAGTCATGGTGCATCTCTACAATAAAAACCATATAGATGTGTTGCATAATCAATCCATACTGGCTCACATGAAATACTTTCCAAGATGCATTAAATAAGAAAGTGTATTAATATAAAGGTAAGATATGCTAATGTATTAAAAAGACACAGAGTTTGGCAGACAAATGCACGCACGCACGCACACACACACACACACATGCACAAATAAACATGCTCTTAGGATTGTCTTATCACAGGAAGGATAGTCAATGGACTGGGATAGTGTTCACTTGTGGAGAGAGAAAGAGACATATCTCATGATCTAGGGATGGGAAGCAGACTATTTTTGATTGCTTATTATTATTATTTTAAATGTATATGCATTATTTTCAGTGAAACAGAGAGGAAAAAATATTTAAGAGGAGTGATTCTAAGACTTGTAGAATGTGCAAAAATGATGATGATGTCCTTAACTAAGAAAACGAATGCAGAAATAAAAATAATAAAACAAATGAATTTGTGGAAATCAGAATCCATGACACTCAAGCACTTCTTTCTAAAGACCTTTGCAGTGATATTGTTATAGTGTCATCCTCATCCTTCTGATATTTTAAGTAATTAAATCTCCTTCAGTAAGGTCATGCCCGTGTAATATTGAACTCCATAGTAATGTCTGTCCTATTATATTGAGCCGCCAATGTGTTACTTCACTTGTGAGACCATACTCTGCTAAACTACACCACAGACACATTAAAATGAGTGGAATATTAAACTGACCATCTCTCCACTACGGAATATGTTATCAGTCTCCATTATAATGCAATGCAGCTTTCTTGAGGGACCAGGTAAACTTTTTGGTATTGTTGGTAAGTTTCTGCTGTCTCTTTCATGTTGGTAGATATTTAATTTAATTATCAGGGTTGAATGAACTGAGTGATAGCTAACTGCTCTGTGGAACTGGAACCGTCCACAAACAAATTAGTTCTCCAGATGTGGAGACATAAATAATCATGCAGGTGCTGTTTGTGTGTGGGTATAAAGGGGAAACAGGCATTGTGAGCAATCACTGAATATTTTCTGCAATAGTGGGGAGAGCATTTGGATGCAGAGAACAGTATAGCTTTTTCATCTAGAGGAATACCGCTCACATTATTTTCTATTTTAAACCTCATCTCTACCCAGTCATAAATTTATCTGCATCCTACCTTTTCTGTATGTTCTGTGTCCACTTTCTGACTCACCTGCCTGTGACTTTGTTCATGCTGCCACATGTAAACTATGGAAAAAGCTTTCATAAATCATCTCTTTTTTCAGTCTCATCCACTAAAACCCTCCCACCAAAAAAAAAAAAAATCTATAATAAATACAACCAATCAAATAATTATCTTGCTGAAGTTTATTCTGAGGCTGCCTGTTGACTAAAGGAAAGAACCTCAACTCCTTGGATGGCTGTGCCAGAGACTTCAAAATGTGGTTCTTATTTCTCCCTCCATTCCAATCCCCTTGAATTTCCTCTCTTATGCTTTATACTCCAGAAATTCTGGAATATTCCCAGTACCCTGTGTCCAATATATTTCTGGTCTAGAAAGATCCTAAAGAAATTGAGTTTCAATGTAAGTATCTAATGAACACCCTCATCTAAAGACCAATATATATATTTATCTCTTAAAGTTTTGCTGCAAACAAAATTAAAATTACCAATTATTATTCATTTAAATAAGAAAATAATTCTAACACTTTAACAAAAGGATGCCTTTTATAGAGGAACTCTATGCATCATAGCAAGGTAGATCTAGCTTGGATTAGCATCCTGCTTTCAGCAACCTAGTTAATGCCACCCTCTTCTTGCCATACTGAATAGTTGTTGACAGGGCTGACATCCAAGCCTTGAAATACAGACAAACAGAGAGTGAGGACATGGTTGCTTTAATTTTCAGCACATTGACTCCGATAATTTCTTTGTTAGGATCTGATTAATGATTTCTGCAGATCTGAAAAGTTTATGTTATTTTTTAAAAGTAGAAAATCACTATTGGCCACACCTTTACTGACATTCCAAGCATGGGATACCACAGTGATTCAATTACTATCAGTTATGGGTGGAGCAGAGATGTCAACTATTGGCTGGAGGCAGCAGGAATTTCCTTCCTGCAATTTCTACAAGTAGCAATAGAAGTAGGCATGGAGACACAATCTCTAAAAGTTGTTTTGTTTTATTATGTTTTGGTATATATAGAAACATGGTTTTCCTGTTCTTTAGAGTTGACTGAGAGGGTTCCATTTTCTATTTGGACTAAGAACAAGTGTTTTCTTTGTTGTAAAACCAGGATGTAGGTGTCATGGAGACATTTGGAATAACAGACGTCAAGCACATTTGCACAGACTTTTGTGAGAAAGGGATTTGAAACAGGACTTTCTGGAACATCAGGTGGTCTTCAGAATTCCCCATGTCATCTCGATGGTCTATATGCTACTTCACCTGTTTAGAATGGCCCCTTCTGTTTGGTTCACTAGCACAATCTCAGTAAGAGACTGAGCATCAGTTGAACTACTCCTCCCATTTTAAAGCCTCCATTCACTCCCCCACAAAAATATTCTAGTACAGTCACTATGGAAAACAGTGTGGAGATTCCTTAAAGAACTAAAGGTAAAACTACCATTTGATCCAGCAATCCCACTACTGGGTATCTACCCAGGGGAAAAGAAGTCATTATTCGAAAAAGACACTTACACACACTTGCTTATAGCAGCAAAATTTACAATTGCAAAATCGTGGAACCAATCCAAATGCCCTTCAATCAACAAGTGGATAAACTGTGATTATATATATATATATATATATATATATATATATATATATATATATATTGCAGCCATAAAAAGGAATGAATTAACAGCATTTGCAGTGACCTGGATGAGACTGGAGACTATTATTCTAAGTGAAGTAACTCAGGAATGGAAAACCAAACATCGTATGTTCTCACTGATATGTGGGAGCTAAGCTATGAGGATGCAAAGGCATAAGAATGATACAATGGACTTTGGCGACTTTGGGGGGAAAGTGGGAGGGGGATGAGTGATAAAAGACCACAAATATAGTGCAGTGTATACTGTTCAGGTGATGGGTGCACCAAAATCTCACAAATCACCACTAAAGACCTTACTCATGTAACCAGATACCACCTGTACCCCCAATAACTTATGGAAAATTTTAAAGTATATATATTTTAGTACCTTCTACTATGTCTCTACTGCTTCAAGAGAGCTATTGTCTTAGTTGCTTATTTGCTCCTTGAGGAGTAGAATCTTATAGCTTTTCACCTTTGTACCTGGAGAGTCTAGCATAAATTCCTGCCATGTAGTAGTTGGTGCATACATTAAATACATTCTAGAATGGATTAATAAATGCACACTAAATTAATGAATTGATGAAGAATGAATAAAAATGATTTCTTCTATTTGAGTTCTATAAAGAGGAGAAGAGGAGCTTGGCATAAATAAATATAAACACTTGGTAAATATAAAGGGAGTAATTTGGGGGGAAAAGAGATCTCTCCCGGCTGGGCACGATGGCTTGAAGCTCATCTGAAAATAAAAGTGTGTGTGTGATAAGATTAGATTATAAGAATGATTACTGATAGTAACCGTTGATAATATTTATTGGCTGATTACTACATAGCAAAATCTGTACTATGTGGTTGACCTAATTACCTAAAATAATTCTCAGCAAAACACTTTGATTCAGCTGCTTTTTTAGCACACCCATTTTACAGATAAAACAATTGAAGCAAGTGATAGTGTGAAATTTGTGTTAAGGAATTATAACTTTGGAGCCCACTCTGAAAACACTTACCATATATTCTGTGTCTTAAAACAATCTTGTTCAATTATCCTGAATCATTATCTACATAAATATCATACTTTTCAGTCTTTCTGTATTGATTTTTAACTTGCTCTTATTTTTCAAATAGTGCCTCCATATGAATGCTCCTAAATGTGCATAAGCAACTACTGATTTCTTAGAACTACCATTGAAAAGTGCTCATTTGAGGACACTAAAAACAAAGCTATCACATTCTTTCTTAATATGTTTATTAATTTTGCTAACATCTATTTTTAGCAACAATGAGAAACTATTGATAAATGTTATTTGTTGAATAGTCAAGTGAAATAAATATAAACATATTAATCCAGGTATATTTTTGTCACTATAATGCACAAATATGTTTTTAAAAGTTTTGAACATTTTCAAGGGTTATGCATTATACAAAAGACAATAATATGCCATCAGGGAAGTGCAGGCAGCTAGGTTTGTGGTATTTAATAGTAAGACAAACAGGCAGCAGAAACTGGAGTCTTGATCAAAGGTCTTCCAGAAGGATAATTCTTATCTGGGTCCACCTGGCTCAGGAACTTTAAATATAGCTTTCCAGAAATTAATTTGGAGAAAAAAATCTATGTAACATGACGAAAATGTCCACTCTGGAGGTTTGAGCCAAACTTGTCAGGCATTCAAAAGACATGGAACAAGATGTCTTAATGAGGATGGTAAGGAGCCTTAGAAACCAAGAGGAAAAGACGGAGGTGATCAAGTAGACTGGAAAACACTAGAGTCAGAAAGTTTCATGGAAATCTGTGCTTTGAGCGGTGAATCGGATTACAACAGAGTTTTTGGCTTCGCAACATTGACATTTGGGGCCAGAAAGTTTTTTATTGTGGAGTGTTGTCCATCACATTTTAGGACGTTTAGCAGCAACACTACATCTACCCTCTAGATGCCAATGGCACTGCACCTCCCGTTGTGACAACTCATAGTCCAGTTTCCCCTACAGGGCAAAACCTCTCCTAGTTCCTACCATTTACAGACTCTAAGATTTTGTAACTACTTTCTAATTCCCAAGTAGGATATATTAATATATCAAACTTGGCATGATGTACTGGTTTTGTTTCAAATTAATCCTGGATTTCCTATACTATCCTCTTCTTTTGTGCCTCTTACAAATTGTTTCACAATAAAAACTGGCATTCATTTAGTCTATTTATAAAACTAAGTCTCAACAATAGGAAATTATCGATTCAGAACAGAATGTACTTTCTGTAATCCTTAACAAAGTAACACTAATATAATTAGCAATAAAAAATGGGGATGTGGGTAAAAAGTTTCAGAGTGCTAATTATCTTATTTGCGTAAAAGGAAGTCAATCCATACTGCCTTAAAAGTGTGGGTAAAATAATGACTCTAACCTCTTAATGATTTTAATAATGTATTTTCTTAATTTCAAATTGATCTTTTAATAAATTATACTCCCTGATATGAAAAAAATCCTTTTTTTTCTGAGACAATGTGTCTCTCTCTCTCTCTCTCTCTCTTTCTTTCTGTCTCTCACTCTCTGTCTGTCTCCCAGGCTGGAGTGCAGTGGCATGATCATAGCTCACTGTAACCCCCAACTCCTGGGCTCAAGCAATTCCCTCCTCAGCCTCCTGAGTGGCTAGAACTTCAGGGATGTGTCACCACACCCAGGTATTTTTTAAATTTTTTTATAGAGACAAGGTATTGATATGTGGCCCAGGTTGGTTTTGAACTCCTGGCTTCAAGTGATTTCCTGACTTGGCTTCCCAACTTGCTGGTATTACAGGCGTAAGACACTGTGCCCAGCTGAAAACATTCTGAAATGTAGCAATTATTTCAGTTTTTCTTAAGTTTCTTTTTATCTTAAATTCAAATAGAAGAAATAAATTTATTTAACATATCAGTACTAATAGAAATAGTTTGTTTACAGATATTACCTAGTCATGTTTATAATCATCCAGGCATCTTTTTCTTTCTTGTTTTTCCTTCTAATTATCTTTACATATATTTCCATCCATCCATCCATCCATTCTTCCTTTCATTAATCTCTCTGTCTATACATATAGAGAGAGATATGTTTAATGACTGACTTACGATGTTATCATCAAAATATCAATCAAATAATTTCTGGGTCCCAGTATTTGGTGCTATCTGTTGCTTTCATCTTTCTTTTTATATTACTTGAGATGTTACATAAACATAAATATTTGTAATACTGTTAAAATTATTCTGCTTTAAATAGGAACATAGAACAGATAGAAGAAAATAGTAGTTTATATAATCTATTGAGGATCTGTATCACAAGAATTATTTCTCATCAAACATGGAAAAATAATATTCTCTTGAAATAAGAAAAAAATACATTCATTCTAAGTAGAAGAAAAATTTCTAAAGATACTAATTTTAAATACTTTGTGCATCTTCCACAACATCCAACACAGTGCCTATGTCCTCAAATCACAAACTTCATATTGTAGCAGAAGCCAATAGCATACTTGGTCAGGTTCCTATTTTTTCTTCCTCACAATTTCATGTTTCATACAGTCTTGACTTTGCAACTTGTACACTCTTCTCATCTTGCCCTATTTATCTTTGGTATTCTGGATTCATTTTTATTTTCTGGTTTTGAAGAACTTTAGGAAGGTGGAGGTAGAAAATAAAATTAACTATCATATCATGATATTCCAGGTCTGGCCTTTGAACTATAACAGGCTGATGCCAATCTGTTGAGGGTGGACACTTTGTACTTAGGAGATACAAATAAATCACTGAATAGGATAGTGTGGGGTACATCAATCGATATAGATTTTATGCATTTCTTCTTCTGCGTTCTGTCCCATAAGCAAAGTGACCTAAGTCAGCCTCTATGTCCAGGTGATAGGCATGAAAAAAGGAAACACTAGTTTTAGACATCATATCTCTCAATGGTTATCTTTGCATCTAGCATTGGCATGTATCAATTAAGCTTATTAAGATAAAGAGTACTAAAGAGCTTCTTTATTCAATTTCTTAGATAAAAGAGATTTTTTTTTAATTGAGAGTTTTCAGTGATGCTTCATTCACATCTTTTATCTGGGCCATGACATCTGAGGCATGTCTACAAAGAGGCATATCAAGGCATATGGCATCTGATGACTTTCTTCCTCCATTTCACTGTGGCACCTAGCTTACCTGTATTCTCAGTTCCCCTGGTCATATCAATTGTCTTTTCTTGGGTGCAACTTTCTGGCTTCCATCTTTCATAAGGCTCATGCTGTTTGGAGTGAATAAAAATAGATGAACATATGATTTATGATTTATGTAAATAGAGAAGTTAGAGCAACATGATGGAAGTAAACCCTTCTTGGAAATCTACATTATATCAAATAAAAGAGGATTATTGTAGCCAAAACTTGACTGGTACATCATAAATAGGATAACACTGTGATATTGCATTGACAAAAATGGTAGTAGAGTTCCTCAGTTTAAGGAAACTACCTAGTTAAAGCAATTTACCATTGAAAATGGAGTACCTAGGGCATAAGCTAGAAAAAGATATAAAAATTATAGAAACAAAACAAAAAAACTATGTGCATGAGAAAATAGTGGGATTCAGTACTTTGTATAGAAAGGAGAAAGACAGGAGAAGAGGAACTTGAGAAAAGAGGAAGCAAATTGGTATGTTCAAGTCTGAAGCCAGTAAGGCTAGGTGGCCAGTGAAAATTGTCCAGGGCAAGTGGTCTCAAAACAGGAATTTGAAACAGGAATGTCTAATATTTTGTGGCTTATATTTTTTGTCTTGTGATTTAAGTAGAAACTCTTTTAAAAATTCTGTATACACGGAGAGCCCAACAGCAGAATTATTTGCTGTAATAAATAGACTTGCTTTTCTGAGTGCTAATGCAGTGTTGGAAATGGGACAGCAGGTCCAAAATAAATGAAAAATTCAGTTGAAGGAATAAATTGGAGGCAATAATATGAGGGAAAAGTTCAATCAAATCCATAAATGGTCAGAGTTGGGGGGCAGGAACTTGAATCTGCCTCTGAATTTAAGATGGTAAGATTATTCTATTTTAGCTGAAAATCAAAAGACTGACCTAAACTGATATCTGAATTATTTATTGAGCATTACTTATAGAAAGTTTCTAAATACAACTTGGAAAAGAACTGGACCAGCTCCTGCTATGTCAATAATATCATTGAAGGAGATTTAGGAAATATAGATTTTAATCGAGACAGTCACCAATTTTCTCAATGATTTGACCAAGTTATATATTTTCTGTGATCTCTCTCCAACTGTAAAATAGAGGCATCTGACCAGATGTCAGATTTTCATTCATTTGAATCCATAAAGGATTCCTGGAATGTGACAACGATATTGAATATGACACAATCAATCTGCTATCCACAGATTCTCCTTGCTCTCTCTATTATCTTTGTAAAGTTTTGTTTTGTTTTGTTTTGTTTTGTTTAGAGTAGTAACATTCCTGATTTTTAAAAGTGGCTGAAAGACTTCAGTAGACATTTCTCTAAAAAAGACATATAAATGACCAATCATTATATGGAAAGATGTTCAACATCAGTAATGATTAAAAAGTGGAAATCAAAACAGCAATAAGACTTCAACTCACATTTGTTAGGATGAGCATTATGAAAAGATGTTGGTGAAAATATAGAGAAGTTGAAACTCTTGTATGCTGTTAATAAGAAATTAAAATGGCACAACCACTATGGAAAGCAGTATGGAAATTCTTCAAAAAATTAAAAGTAGAACCACCATATGATCCAGCGATCCAATTTCTGGGTATATACACCCAAAAACTGAAGACAGGATCCCATAGATGCATCTGCACTCTCGTGTACATTGTGGTATTATTCACAATAGCCAAAATAGGGAAGTGGTCTAAATGTTCATTGACAGGTAAATAGATAAAGATATGTGTGTGTGTGTGTGTGTGTGTGTGTGTGTGTGTGTATACAGTAGAATATTATAAAGTTGTAAAAGGTGAGGACATGTTGCTATATGCAAAAATATAGATGAACCTAGTGGATATTATGCTAAATTTAATAAGCCAGACACAGAATGACAAAAGCTGCGTAATTCCACTTATATGAGAGCTATCTAAAATAGTCAGGCCAGGAATGATGATTCACACCTGTAATCCCAGCCCTTTGGGAGGCCTAGGCAGAAGGAACACTTGAGGCTAGTAGTTCAAGACCAGCCTGGGCAATAAAATAAGACTTCCTTCTCACAAAAAATCAAAAAACTAGCCAGGCATGGTGGTGCACATCTGTGGTCTCAGTTACACAGGAGGTTGAGGCAGGAGGATTACTTGAGCCCAGGCGGTCGAGGTTTCAGTGAGCCATGTTATTGCCACTGTACGCAGACTTAGGAAACAGTGAGACCCTGCCTCAAAATAAAATGAAATGAAATAGTCAAACTCATAGGAACAGAGAGCGGAATGGTAGTTGCCAGGGACTGGGAGGGGAAGGAAATGGGGAGTTACTATTAAAAGGTACAAAGTTTCAGTTTTACAAGACAAATCAGTTTTAGAGATCTCCTGTACAACATTTTGCCTATAGTTAATAATATTGTACTGTGCACTCAAAGATTTGTTAAGAGGATAGAACTCATGTTAAGTGTTCTTACCATAATAAAAACAATAAGCAAATATAGTATTAACATTCATGCTAACAGAAATATCATGAAACATACATTTTGAAGAATGTTTTTTCTTTTCTTTTTTTCTTTTACAGTAGCAATGGTTCAAGCTATGTGAGTGACCACTATATGAATAAATCCAGGAAAATAGCATATCATTCTGTGTGCTGCATTGCCTGAAAGCCATAGTGTGTGTGTAGGGGCTGAGTGAGTTTTTTGAGCCACACAAGCCATTCAGTCTTGGAGCTTAACAGTTTGCCCCTAGTTTAAAGACATCTTCCCCCTAGGACACTTGTGTGGTTTCTACCCTTTTCTTCTTTGCAGCTACAACTCTCTAATAATGTGGAGCTTCCTCTAGACTAGCTCAGCAAATTCCGCTCATTTAAAAAACATCAATCTCTTAGCTGTATTTACCTTCCCTTCAATGACTATAATTTGATTGTTTTCATGCTGTGAAATGATAGATGGAACATTCGGAGGGGTACTGTGATTCTGAGTACTAGTGGAAGACTCTAATGGTCCTGTCTTTGTCTGATATGAGAAAACTATTAATTAGCTTGCTCTCTTTTATATCATGGTTTCTTTCCCTGAATTGATGAGAATCTTAAAAATGGTAAACACATTGAACATCTGTATCTAGGCTTAGTGTGTAAGGTTCCATTGCTTATTAGAAGGCAGTATTGTGGGATAGTCAAGGCAAAGAACAAGGAATTTGGCACCAAATAAACATACGTTACATCTGGTTCTGCTGCTAGCTGTGTGACCTTGCTGTGTGGCCTTGCGAAAAAGCACTTAGCTTCTTTAAACCCAGTTTTTATAGCAACAAATCAGAAGCAATTATGGCACTTGCCTCACAATATAGTTTTGAAAATCAAGTTAGTTAATAAGTATACAGCATTCAGAGCAATGCCTGCCACAGAGTGGCCCTCAATACTAGCTATCATCTTCTCTGTTTTTATGTGGATGTCATCATTCCATACAGGTGAATTATGGTAAGACATCAAAACTTTGGCTGTATAGACATCCTTCAATATATCTACTTGCACCTGGCTACAGAAATCTTATTTCCCTTTATCCCAGCCAGCTAGCTACTCCTTGCTGAGTCAGGAATTTACTGCTTACAGTCAATGACATGCCTGATGCTGGATACTTGGTTATTTGATGGTCCAGCCTGCAGATTTTCCAGAAGCATTTATTCATATACACAAGTCCTAGTACATATCATTTAATGCAAAATACAGTTCTCTCCAAACACATCATTTCTGATCTATCCAAATTCAATCAATATTCCCTGTGCCATCATGTGAATGTCTTTTCTTAATTCAATAAAATCTTTCATATGCCAAAAGACTGTATTTTTGTTTGCTTTTTGCTTTTGTTTGTTTGTTTGTTTTTGAGATGGAGTCTTGCTCTGTCACCCAGGCTGGAGTGCAGTGGTGTGATCTCTGCTCACTGCAACCTCCACCTCCCAGGTTCAAGCAATTGTCCTGCATCAGCCTCCCGAGTAGCTGGGATTACAGGCACCTGCCACCACGCCCAGTTAATTTTTTTTTTTTTTTTTTTTTTTTTTTTTTAAGTAGAGATGGAGTTTCACCATGTTGGTCAGGCTGGTCTTAAACTACTGACCTCAGGTGACCCACCTGCCTCAGCCTCCCAAAGTGCTGGGATTACAGGCGTGAGCCACCATGCCCAGCCCAAAAGACTGTTATTAACACTGCTTAGTTTATTTTACAGGCTAATTCGTTCTCTCAGATACTGTTTTGCTATTGCATGAATTATTACTTTTTCATGACTTATATGTATTGGATTTTAATGCAGCTATACCTTTTACAGGGTTAACTAGCCCTGTTGTTCTTTCAGATCTGAGCAATGCTCTATTATCCCTGAATTACCCATGTCAGTGTCTAGCTTATTGTAAATGGAAAATAAATGATAGTTTAATATACCAGAGTTGAAATAAACCTAGCTATAAAAATCTTAAAAACCCCAAGTCTTAGGGTTTTAATCTAATCCACTACTTTCCTCTGGACCCTTTATGTTTTTCATAGTATGAATAAAGAAAAGACTCTGAAAATCCATTTTATTTGAAGAAGAAATCAACAGGACTATGTGTGTAATTAGGCTTGTTCGAAAAATTCCATGGGTATGATTCACCATTGCTGGTCAAGATACTCTTGCCATAGGAAGGGAAATAAAATTATTGAACCATAGAATTCTTGAGCAGGAAGGTGCCTTAAACTTTGACTTTTCCACTATTTCTTGTGCTAACAGCATCAAGATCAAGCACTATTGGGTGAAAGTATATTTCTATGAGGCCTAATATTATACATTTTAACACTCTCCCTCAGTAATTCTGTTTGCAAAATAAATTGGAAAATTGCTTGTCTTGTTTGACACACTTATAATACAAATTAAGAAGAGAATAGGCTCAAGAAAAAGATGTTTAGCTGAAATTACCTTTCCTAATCTCTTCAGTCCTAACATGATTTGGACAGAATTTGGCCAATGGGAATGCTAAAACCATCCCATCTTGTCATATCAATTTCTCACTCTGAAATGATTCTGTCAGCCCACATGGCTCATACCCCAAATGTTGGGAAAAACTTCATCATTTTTCCCTAGGATATCAAGTACATCATAGAATCCAGCATTATATAATTCATAGGTCTTGCCCAGCCTTAGAATCAATCTGGCTTTAAGGGAAAGGTACATGTACAGTCACACACACAAACACACACACAAACACACACACACACCCTATGAGAATAAAAAATAAAACTTTGTTATTGGGTTATGTCTTCCCTTTATCAGTCAGACTACTTTGTTCATAAATCTTTGGATAATTGGCTCTGCTGTGTCCTAACTCCATGAAACCAGGCTCTCAGCAGAGACGCTTTATACAATTTGACCTCCCTGAGGATATTTTTCTGAGTTTTGCTCTTATATTTTCTCTAAAAGTTTTCAGCCTAAAAATAATTATAAGACCTGATAGCTAGTCAGAAAACGAGAACTTGAACTGCTTACCATGAAATCATGTTAAAAGAACAGCTCTTTTGATTGCAAGATTTAAACAGCTCACTGTAAACAGATGAGTACCAAATAGACATTTCAGATCCAGACATCTTTCGATACCTGGCTCCAGGGTCTCTAAGCCTGAGTGAAGAGAAGACATCATCTTCCCTCCAAAGCTCTATACCTTGAACAAAGTCATGCACAAGGCTAAGCCACTCTCTCTCCCTCTCCCTTTTCCTCACCCCTGGCTGGCACATCAATTAATGCTGGTTACACCCTCTCCACTACTAGTAAAATCAAGGCTTTCCCTTACCTTCTGAAATATTGTTCTAGTTTAGTTCCTTATTTATTTTAGTTTTATTTCTACTAAGTCCTCCAGATAGGCTCTTTGTCTTCAAACCCTTATCTACCATTTTTTGGCAGTTTTCTTTCAGAAACATACCTGAGAATCTGTCATTTTTCTTCCCTGCCTTCCCCTCCTCACTTTTCTTCACCCCCTCCCTTCCTTCATTTCTTCTTTCTCTTCCTTCCTTCTTCTCTTTCTTCATGCTTTCTTCCTTTCAGAGCTTCCTATAACTTTAAAGTTCAAACTTCTTATTTTCATTTTTATTAAGTTCACATGACCTACAATCAAACATTTTAAAGTGAAAAGTTAGTGACAAACAGTGCATTCACAGTGTTGTGCAATCACCACTTCTATCTAGTTCCAAAATATTTTAACCACACTAGAAGGAAACCCTATACCTATTAAGCAGTAGTTCCCCATTCCTCCCCTCTCCCAGCTCCTATCTAACAGCAACTGGCTTTCTGTCTCTATGGATTTACCTATTTTGGGTATTTCCCATCAGTGGAATCGACTATAAGTGACCTTCTGTGTCTGGCTTCCTTCACTTAGCATGTTTTTGAGGTTTAGCTACAATGCAGCATGTAGCAGTATATGATCCCTTTTTATGGCTGAGTAATATTCCAGTGTATGTGCATACCACAGTTATATATCCATTTATCTGTCCATGAACATTTGAGTTGCGCTCCCCTTTGGCTGCTGTGAATAGGGCTGCTATGGACATGTCTGAATACATGTTTGGCTGAGTACCTGTTTTCAATGTTTCTTTTGGTATAGACTTAAGTTTGGGATTTCTGGGTTATAGTATAATTTTAGGTTTATATGTTTTCCAGAGTAGTTGAACCATTTTACATTCCCATCAGCAAAGTATGAATGTGTCAATATCTTCATATTTTCCTCAACACTTGTTATTTTCTTCTTCTTCTTCTTTATTTATTTTTATTTTTTTTTTTGAGTATCTCACTCTGTCCTGCAGGCTGGAGTGCAGTGGTATGATCTTGGCTCACTGCAAACCCTGCCTCCTGGGTTCAAGCAATTCTTCTGTCTCAGCTTCCTCAGTAGTTGGTACTACAGGTGCCTACCACCACGCCTGGCTAATTTTTGTATTTTTAGTAGAGACAAGGTTTCACCATATTGGTCAGGCTGGTTTCAAACTCCTGACCTCAGATGATCCACCCCCTCGTACTCCCAAAGTGCTGGGATTACAGGTGTGAGCCACTACACCCGGCCCAACAGTTGTTATTTTCTGTCATTTTCTTTTTTTATTTCAAGTATAGTCATCCTAGTGTCTATGACATGGTATCTTGGGGGTTTGATTTGCGTTTCCCTAGTGACTAATGAGGTTGAACATCTTCCCATCAAACTTCTCATTTTCATCACAAGGTCTTCAGGGTCTTCCCTTGCCCATCTCTCATCCCTCCCCCAGGCTCTGCACAGGGTTTTGCATCCCTGTCTAATTGTGGTTCTCTCAGTTGCCTACCTCTGTACATTGTTTCCTCTGCCTGAATTATACCTGCCTATTTGTCTCCTGGCAGCTGTGAATCCTCTAAGACTTATCTCAGGCATCAATTTATGTTACAGGTCCCCCTCAAGTTTGTATTTGTTTTCTTTCTATAATTTAGGATATCACACTCTACTTAATTATACCATGTTATTTATACCAGAAGTCCCCAACGTTTTTGGCACCAGGGACTCTTTTCATGGAAGACAGTTTTTCCATGGACTGGGGTAGTTGATTTTGGAATGAAACTGTTCCACCTCAGATCAGGCATTGATTAGATTCTCATAGGAGTGCCAGTCTAGATTCCTCACATGCACAGTTCACAATGGTATTTGCATTCCCAAAGAATCTAATGTTGCTGTTGGTCTGACAGGAGGTAATGCCTGCTGCCCTCTGCTCACCTCCTGCTGTGTGGCCCAGCTCCTAACAAGACACAGCGCAGTACCAGCCCATGGCCCAGGGGCTAGGGCCCCTTGATTTATACTGCTTTGGTTTGCTTTTGTTACATGTTTCTTTACTTCTTTCTCTCTGTATTAAATTATAAACTTTTAAAGGAAAAAGTCATTGTCTTATGTAGCCACACTTCCGATCATGGCACTGTCATGTTTAACACTCCAAGTGTTTTATGCAATTCTTATAGAATGTGCAACATCTGAACATGGCTTAAAATGGTCTGAATAGTCCAGCCTTGAAACCCCTTACCCTTTCCCACCTACCCCCGATTTCAATTTTCTTTCTCTGTCTTCTTCTCTTCTCCTCTTCCTGTTTCTCTAGCCTCCTTTCCTCTTGTCTCCTCTCTTCTATTACTTTTCATACCTTATCCTTTCTTTTCTTTCATCTCATCTCTCACCGTTATCTCACTTAATATTTCTCTATCTCTTTCCCTCGGTCTCTTTTTCTCCCCTCTCTCTGTTGCTCTTTCTTTCCCAGTCCTCTCCCTTTCCCAGCTTCCTTTCTTTCCCTGTTCCTTCTTCTCTCAGTCTCTCTCTTTTTCTGTCTTTTTCTCCCTCATCCCCCTCTCTCTCCTCCATCTCCCTTTCCTTTCTCTTCCCTCCCTCTCTTCCTTTCTGTCTCTACTTTTCCCTCTTTTCCCCTTCCTCCTTTTCCTTCTCTCTCCCTCTCTTTCTCCCACCCTTTTCTTTCCCCCTCTCCTGTTCTCTCCCTCCTCTCTTATCTCCCTCTCTCCTTTTCCCCTCTGCCTCCATCTCCTTCCTTCCCTTCCCTTCCCTCCCTCCCTGCTTTCCTCTCTTTTTCTCGCTGCTTCTTTCTCCCTCTCTCTTTCCCTCTCTTCCGTCTCTCTCCCCTCATCCTGTGTATCTCCCACCCACCCTCTATCGCTCCATCTCACTTCATTTTGTGTTGCTACAAAGCAACACCTGAGGCTGGGTAATTTATAAAGAAAAAAAAGCTTATTTGGCTTACAATTCTGATGTTTGGAAAAGTTCTGAATTGGGGATCTGCATGTGGTAAGGACCACAGGCTGCTTCCACTCATGGCAGAAGGTGAAGGGAAGCCAGCCTGTGCAGAGATCACGTGGCGAGAGAGGAAGGTGGAGAGCAGGGGGAGGCACAAGGCTATATTTAACCATCAGCTCTCCAGGAACCAATAATGGGAAGTCTCTCTATCATTACCACCATAGCACCAAGCCATTCTTGAGGGATCCACCCCCATGATCCAAACACATTCTAATAGGCCCCACTTCCAACATTGAAGATCAAATTTCAACATCAGGTTTGGAGTGCGAGGTAGGGGGGAACATCCTAACCATAGCAGCCTGTCTTTTTCCTCTCTTTCTCCCTCTCTCTCCCTCCCTCCACTCTCCTTCTCTCTTCCTCTCCTTCTGTCCTTCCTTCTCCCCACTCTCCCTCCCTCTCCCACTTGTCTTCTCTCTCTGCCCCTTTCTCTCTCCACTTTTCCCTCTCTCTCTCCCCCAGTCACTCTCCCTCACTCTCCAGCTTGCTCTCCTCAGCATATGCTCCATTTCTTGGAGTCCTGCAAGGCCCCTTGCTTCTTTCTGTTGTTCCCTCCCCTGTTGTCTCCTAAACCAGAGCCCTTCACATATGCCTCCTGCACAGTTAACTATTATCCTGCACATCTCAAAGTGTGCTACCTCAGGGATGCCTCTCCTGATATCCTACACTAAATTAATTCAATTTTAATATTCTGTCTCATAGTCCTGCAATGATTCAATTTCTTTTTAAGATCTTCTCTTGGGAAAAAGCTGAAAGGTAGGCTGCAGCCAAATTGCAAAGAGCTGTGCAGATTTCTCCCGTACCAGGCAAATGAATCCTGGGATCCAGGGCACAGTGCTTGACACACTGAAATAAAACGATAATCAAATGATATAATGTGCCTCAAACATGCTCTGCCAAAGTATAAGGTAGAATACAAATGCCAGGCATTGCTATTGTCATCTCCTGATCCCACTCATTAGATTACTCCTGGCAAGTACAGAATGAACAGTGTTCCCCAATGGTAGTATTGGGGATACACCATTAACTCAATAATAAGGTTAAAAATTATAATTTTTATTCATTTGACTTCAACTAAACCTATCACCAGCTTCTAAAGGGAAATGAAAAGAAGCATGTGGTTATCGAAGACAAAGGTTTATTATACCAGTGATACCATTCAAATAGCTTTACAAAAACACTTAGTTTTGTCTAAAAAGTCATTCATTTAGCTTATGATACACACAATAAGAAGCACTTATAGAAACTCTAAAGCAAACAATAAAGAGAGTCTTATAGGAATGGTCTGGAAAACAATAACTTGAAAACAGAGGAATAAGACTAAAGGGGTAGATTCTGTATCTCTTTCCCTCTTCCTCTATCAGCCCTCCCTCACTGCATGCTGTCCACTTCCCCACACCAGCAGCAACCAATGAGGTCAGGGTTATTCTTAAACAGTCTACCATATCACGTTCTTTCAAAAACACAAAAGACCTGTTCATGCTGGCCTTCCAAAAATTCCTTTGGTCCCTGTCCTGGCTATTCTTGTCCCACCAGTCAGAAAGTGCATTAAAAGACTGCAAAAAGCAAAATGAAGCATTAGGTATTTTTGTCCCTTAACCAAGTAACTTCAGACTTATGTTTTAATAATAGTTTATTTTCGGTCTATTGGTTCTGCCTAACCTTCCAATCTGCTCTCCGTACAGTGGCTATAGAAAATTACAGGACCTCAGAGAGGCTCCCAGATTATGCTCAGACCACCTAAAGAAGGAGACTGGCATGTCTCATGCATTAGCTGCATGCAGACATTACTGTTGTTGATGCCAATTACATTTCATTCAAACCTCACAGTAATAAGCCTGTATGGCAAGAAGTCCTCTAATTTTATGAGTGATTAAAGTGAGCTTCAGAGAGGTTATACAATAGCCCAAGGTTTACACAGCTTCTGTCTAATTCCCAAGTCCAAGTGGGGCATAGTGGAGAGTCCAAATGAAGTTTTGATGAATTTCACTGGTTGAACAAATTCTGAAAACGATTATAAATATTTAAGGTGATAACAGGACTTTCAAAACAAACAAGTGATTGATGTGATTTTTGGCAATGTATTTCTTTTCTGGCCAACGACCATATATATGTCATAGTTTAAGGAAGTTCCCAAGATAGAGCAAACATATCATATTCTGCTGACAAAAAAAAACAGCCAAAAATACACTTAAACTATGAAAATCATTTTACTATCAAAAAGCATATTGTTTGGGGAGATACCATTCATAGCATTTCTCCTCAGAGAAAATTCCAGACACTACCTTTCTCAATATCTTTGGAGGCACCTTTGGAAAGAGTGACTGGGTCTTGGAATTTATGTCTAAGAAAAGATTTATAAGGTTAAATTTTATTTCAGAAAGATAAGTTGACAAAAGTTCACCAAAATACTTCAGTCAGTTTCTCTTTTATGTGGTATGCAACGCTCATTTGGGAAAAGAAAAATAAACAAAAAGAAAATAGAAAATAAACCTCATTACAACTTTTTGGATGCATTATAAAATAAATAGATGCAAAACTGAGTGGCTGTGGATACTTTATTGGATTAAAACAATGCAAACTGCATACTGTGTCTAAATGTTTAATATAAACATTGACACTGAATATATTTGCAGATCAACAGCTGCTCAAACAAAAGCAGTGAATCTAATGGATTTCATAGTTGAAGCCCCCAATCAGAATGGAGTTCACATTCACCACTCATAGCTTATTCAATTGTGCTTGTGTACTGGCCTTTGTGACAAAATGATTATCTACTTTTAATCACCTCCTAAGAAGCAATCAAAACAAAGTTACTTAGTCGGTGTTTCCAGACCAAATGAGTGCAGGGCAATTAATTTTATTTCCCAAACAAAATCCAGTTAGTGCTATTGATATGTAATAATGCTTTGCTATCATATTGCCATTGTGGTATGCATGCCCATCTCAAACATTTACAAAGACATTTCAATTGCATTTGAACTCTCTAATCCTGTCCTATGTATAATTCAAGTATTTCATTTAAGGACACCTACAAACCCTGGGGATTATAGATTGAACATCTCCCTTTGTGAGAAATGAAGAACTGCATGACCTAAATTGATTTATGACATTGTAGGAATTTGAATGTTAGTTGAAGATGCTGGCATGTGAGAGTCAATTACTTAGTACAGATATAGATAGCATATGTCTCCCAATTTACCTATATAATAGTTGATTATTCACTGTGGACAAAATAACTTTTGGAAAGCAATGGAAATTGAGGTTTTTTTGTAGAAAATGAGTGTCCACTGTTAATGCCAGTCACATAAGTCAGGAGAAAATAATGACATCTTCATAACAAAAGCAATAAAGCATAAACAAAAACAATCCCTCCACAACATCCCCCCCATAAGAGGGCGAATCTTATTGTCATATTAAGTTACTTATTCCTAAAGGTCTTAGGGTGCGTGCCTCATAAACAACAAAGCTGTAATAAGTGTGATTAAATGAAGGTATAATTATTTAGATTCGTGTATAACATTTCCTTTGGGGATGAATTTTGGATTTGGCTATTTTCATGGCTTAGTCAAAAGAGGAGTTTAAGTAGACTGTTGTAAAAGGTGGAATGCATTAACTCTTTCGGGTCCTCTGAGTGTCTTTTAAGTAGTAAGACTTAATCTGTTAGAAGCCACTTATTCACTTGGGCTTCACTTACATCCCTTCTTATTCTTAATGCAGGCCATGCTATATTTATTTTTTTCAGCCAAAACCAATTTGTTATTTTATCCTTTTGTTTTTCATTTAAGAACAAAGTACTTTCTTAGAATAGACACTAATAAAAATAGTTATTTTTAGTAATAAATATATACAACTTTATGATGTTTTTCTTCTCATTTTGGAAAGTAAGAAATTCCAAAGCTACCCCGATACTGAGGTTTTTATCTTCATGGCCTTGTATTATTTTGATAAAGTAATCTTATAAATATTCCTACAACTGCTGTATCTTCATGTTCAATTCCTAATCTACCTTTTTATAATGCTGACAAAATATATCTCCTAGAGTATTATTTTTAACATGAAATTTCCCAGTCCTCAAATTTTGGTGCCTCCCTAATGTCAACTGTCAGGGATTCAGTTTGTTGTTGTTGATTTGCCTTGTTTTAAATGAAAGTCAATCTCTTTAAATTATTGAAGCACAAATGTCATCAACTCTAAAATAAGGGGAGTTAGGAAACTATTATGTACCTGGTTACTCTTTGAAACTGTGCCACACGTATCACAAGATTATCTCACGTAATCTTCCCAGTAACCCTGAGATATGGAGAAGTAAACTGAGTTGTAAGAAGGAATCCTGTGGCCAGGCGCGGTGGCGCACGCCTGTAATCCCAGCACTTTGGGAGGCCGAGGTTGGCGGATCACAAGGTCCGGAGATCGAGACCATCCTGGCTAACACGGTGAAACTCCGTCTCTACTAAAAATACAAAAAATTAGCCGGGCGTGGTGGCGGGCGCCTGTAGTCCCAGCTACTTGGGAGGCTGAGGCAGGAGAATGGCGTGAACCCAGGAGGCGGAGCTTGCAGTGAGCCGAGATGGCGCCACTGCACTCCAGCCTGGGCAACAGAGTGAGACTCGGTCTCAAAAAAAAAAAAAAAAGAAGGAATCCTGTAACTTACCTGTAAAGGCTAAAATTGAAAAGAGTGAATGTATATGAGAGCAAAGAAAAAGAAAACCTGATATAAGAATTCATCAAGAAGGTGAGTGATTTTTGAGAGTCTGAGACTCAAATGTTTTATTCCTCCATTCTTTATGCTGGAGGCCTTGTAGATTGCTACTGTTTGAAGACAACCGATGCCAGCCCATGCCTACACATGCAAGTTACTTTGAATACCATTTTCAGCCTAAATCAAACCAACTCTAGAGCATAGGCTCAGATTTTTGGCCACCTCTCAGTTGTCAATATCTAGAAGCTCTGTTCCCAAAGGCTTGGCCTCCAACCAATAAGTATATGCTATTGAAAGCAACAAAGGCTGTTTCAGGGAGTTCATTGTGTAGTAGTATTCTAAATAAATATTTCCTACTTACTTTGTATAGCTTATTATGTCTAGTCGGGTCCTTGTCTAGACATGGTACAAGAAAGAAAGCAATGTCATAATATGTATTTATAGATATCATTCAGTTATTCTTGCATTCACTTACAAATATTGGAGCTGATGTACCATGTGGCAGGTATTTTTCTATAGCTTGGCGATATAGTGGCAAGACAAACTCCCTGCATCCCAATAATCTATAATCTAGTAATTTTTGAAACTATTTTCTTTGTAGTATTAGAGGTTGACCAAAATCTCTCCATTTATCCATTGCTTTTTTACTTACAAATATTAATCAACTTAAATATATAAAAAAATAAATGGAGCTACGTCTATAGGATGGAAAAGTGTGTAGTAATTAATATTTATGCACTTTTTATAATATGAATTTTTATGAATTAGGTGAAAGTTATAAACATGGAATTATATATATATACATATATACACACATATATGGTAGGTTATTATACATAAAGCCTATGTACAAAAATTATGCCTGAGATAAATTATATAAAATTATTAACAATGTTTTTTTCTGTCATGGGTAAATAAATAATTTTTTGTGACTTTTCTAAATTTTCTGAAACTCCTAAAATAATTATGTATTTATTTTCTGAAAAAATAAACACCTATTCTACAAATAAACTATTCTGCCTTCTCGGTGATATAAATCACCTCTCACTATTCTTAACAATACCCACCCATATCACCAAGTGTGTCTTAGTTGAACACACAGCTAGGGAGACGTTGTCATTATTATACAAACATAGAAAAATATCTGTGACCAAAACACAGAGAAGGCAGCATTCACAGTAGTGGTTAGATAAATGTGGGGTTATTTTGGAAATGTGCAAATTTTATTATTTTCCAGCACTCTTCAAATCAGATGCAAGCACCATTTAGACCAGTTTAAAATACATACATATATATATATATGTCAGAAACAGTGAAGAAACAACTGAAGCTTCTCCACCTATTAAGAAAGAAGGAGAGCACCCGGTGTGGTGGCTCACGCCTGTAATCCAAGCACTTTGGGAAGCCGAGGCAGGCAGATCACCTGAGGTCAGGAGTTCAAGACCAGCCTGACCAACATGCAAAACCCTATCTCTACTGAAAATATAAAATTAGCCAGGTGTGCTGGTGCATGCCTGTAATCCCAGCTACTTGGAAGGCTGAGGCAGGAAAATCACTTGAACCCAGGAGGTGGAGGTTGCACTAATTCAAGATTGTGCCATTGCACTCCAGCCTGGGCAACAAAGACTGAAACTCTGTCAAAAAAAAAAAGAAAAAAGAAGTAGAAGAAAAGAGAGAAAGAAAGAAAGAAAGAAAGAAAGAAAAGAAAGAAAGAAAGAAAGAAAGAAAGAAAGAAAGAAAGAAAGAAAGAAAGAAAAGAAAGAAAGAAAGAAGAAAACACTTTCTTCCACTGTGAATTTGGCAAAGCTTATCAACTCATGACATAGTTGACAACAAACTGAATACAGCTAGAGCATGCCAGATTTGCAGAAGGCTGTTTTTCACACACTCTATAGCAGAGACCAGGAGTAAGTTTTTGGAATCAGTAGAACATTTCCTTCCTCTGGTTATCTGTGTAGTTTAATGATTTCAAAATTTCCTTAAGATGAGAAAAGAATCAAACTTCTGTTAAGTAATAAAGGAAATAATTATAGACATAATAAGAAAACTGTGCTGAAACAGGCTTAAGGATAACTTACGGGCTGCTTAAAGTTCCACTCCTTTATAATTGGAAACAAAATTCCCGAGGTTCAACCCAAGAACCAGCCTTTTTTTTTTTTCTTCAAGCTCTGTTGTCACTGTAAAGCTCAAAGATGGAACCAACAGCTTTCCAAAGATTACAAATACATAGATATATTTGTCAGTACTGCAAGAAAAAAGAGAAGAGTGTGTCAGTCTAGGTGAAGAGCCTCAGATGGCTTCAGACTTTTATACTTGTAGGACACTGCTCTAGATAAAGCATGCAAACTTGTTATTTTTAATTCTTTTTTTAATAGCTTTCAAATATGGTTTCATTATTCTAGGTTTTGAAGAGATATTTGGCTATAAAAATCTTGAAGGAAATCTTTCTTCCTTCATGACAAAGTTAACAGTAATAACATTGTGTTGAGGTTTTATATGTGTTCATTCTTTTCATTCTCACAATCATTCTTTCAGGTGCACGTTATATTTTAAATAAAAGTGGCATCCAGAGAGATTACCTAAATATCAAGAACATGTCACTTGAAGGTCTTCCACCTAAGATGTGAAGCCAGTTGCCTTTAACTCTGAGTTTAATAGGCTTTCAGTGGTATCATAATGCCAAGAGATGGGTTTAAATGTGTTCTGTAAGAATAGTTAATTTATTTTAAAATGAACACTCATGTATTAATTATATGACATTTAACACATCAAAATATACTGTTTAAACTGTCATTTTAATGTGAATTCTCTAAATTCATCAAATAATTAGTGCTTTGTAGACTCAAGCCAATTTTAGACCAAACATTGAGGAAATCCTATTTCTCAAGGATAATTTATTGGTTTCCTAAAGTACGATATACCACGAAATCATATTTAAATTCAAATGTTCATGATAACATAAATAGGTTCATATAAGAAATAATGCTATTGCATTGTTTATAAGGAAACCAAAGTAAAGTAAACATGATTAGAAGAGATGATTCAGGAGGTATTAATATTATGTTATAACAATATGCTGAACACAGAATCAGTAATTCAAAACCAGAACTTTGAAATTTCACTTTGCTACTAATTGAATATCCTCAGATAATTCAGTTAAACTTCTTGAACTTCAGTTTCCTCATCTGAGAATTGGAGGTAATTATGGCCAACTTACAAGATTGTTACAGCAGAGAAAAATATATAGCAGAGTAAATTACTCAAAGTATGTGTAAAACTTGTGTTATTAAAATAATCACTGCAAAGTTTAATTAAAAATTGATGAAAATCTTTCTTGATTATGGCCAAGTTTCATTTATTCAACACATTTTTGTTAACTGTCTACATTTACCAGAATATTATTCGACTAGGGCTGCCATAGCAAAATACCACAGATCACGTGCCTTCAACAACAAATTTATTTCTCACAGCCCTGGAGGCTGAAAGTCTAAGATTAATGTGTTAGCAGGTTTGGTTTACTGAGACCTCTCTCCTTGGCTTGCAGACAGCTGTTTCTAGCTGTTTTCTCACATGATCTTTTCTCTGTGCCCTTGCATCCCTGATTTCTTTTCTTCTTATAAGGACACCAGTCATATTAAATTAGAGCCCATTCATATGACCTCATTTAACCTGACTACCTCTGTAAAAGTCCTATCTGAAAATACAGTTATATTCTGAGTTACGAGGAGTTAGGACCTCAACATATTAACTTTGTGGGGGATGAGGCGGGGAAATAAGGAATTAGCGTTCCCTGACCTAATACTTGGGAATCGCGTTGGGGAATTGAATCAAACTATGTGCAAAACAGATAAGTTGCTTGCCCTCATGGAATTTCAATCTGGTGGAGGGTCATATGAATTAAAAGGATAAAAGAATACAATGTGATGAGTTACTTTAGGGAAATTACTGGGGGAGCAAAAGCAGAGCATTGGGGCATTTTATCCAGATTTAAGAGTCAAGAAAAGATAACCAAAGAATTTCTTCTAAATTTACAATTGGTATAGAAGCGTGACCGGGAAGTGCAGGAATCCTCAGTTCTTTGTCCTCTTGGAGAAAGCATTCTGCCAAATGACTGATTTTGCCAAAAAGATAATTTACTGATGGAAAATAGCAGAGAGTTTATTTGAGGGGACAGTACACTCTGCAAAACTGAAGCAGAGCGCCTGCCGAAGGGATTGAGCCAGCAGCAGCTTGAGAGTTCCGCACCGGCTTTTTATTATTTCAGACCCTTTCTTGAAGTTCCCACCTCTGTCTTAAGTTTCTGCCTTTTTCTTTGTCTAGGTTTTCTGCTCCTGCTTTAGGTCTCTGCCCTGTCCCCTCCTAGTTCCTGCCCCAGGTCTGTGGTACCCCACCCTTACTCTTAGTTGGTGCGCATGTACAGGCTGTTGCTAGCTAGCAATCCTACATATTGGCTGCGTTGCTCATTACTGCCACCCCAGAAAGGTCACATAGTGGTTAAATCTGCACTTTTTACCCCGGAGTGTATCTTAGGGATTTCTCCTTTGCCCTCCTTAGGAGCATATAACCTACATTCAGGTAGGGTAACTACAGAGGGAGCAATTACTGAGCATCTTAAGGGGCATTCCTTTCTGCTCGGGTATTTCCCCTCCTCTCTGTTTATAACTAGCATGCAGGTTTTCAGTGGTCCCAGGGGTGTGAGACTTTTCAGACTTTTCCCTTTTCTTGGGGGCTTCCAGCTATCTGCCTACTCTAACGGAAGTAGAAGTCAGTCTTACAAAGCTTGAAGAGGTCAAGTGTGTTCCAGAAACAAATGATGAAATAAGCAAAGCTCTAAAGTTGAGAATATGCATTTGGGGGATTTACTTAAGGCTCCGGGGTGGGGCAAAGAGAAGAAGGAAGAGAGAAAGAGTATACAGAGATAAATGTGCATGTCACAGTCCTAACGGGCCTTTCAAGCTAAATCAGAGCTTTTGACTTTATCCTGAGGGTAACAAGAACCTTATAAATACGTATGAGGTAAGAGAAAGACATTAGCAAGTTTGTGTTTCAGGAAGGATTTATGATACAGAAAATGGGTTGGAAAGAGATAAAGATGAAATCAGAATCTCCAGTTGTGAAGTTGTCCCAGTATTCCAGTCAAGATGGCCTGGGACATGGAAATATCAAAAGGAATGGAAAGAAATCGATACATTTGTGAGCTATTTATGGGGTAGAATTTATACCTGGATTGAATGGGGAGGGATGAGAGAGCGTGCAGAGGAGTATGAGATGGGGCCTGCCAAGCTTTGGCCTCCAGTACATGAGTGGGTAGGAGCAGTATTGCCTGGAGGAGAGAACTGAAATGAATGTCAGGATTTGGAGAGAAAGGGTGAGTTTAGTATGATTTTAGTCCTGCTTTTTGGATGGACATCTAATTGGAGATGTCAAAGAAGCAATAGGCTCTATACATCTCGTTTCTGCTACATGTTAACTTGTGTTTTACTATTAATATATCATCTTAAACCAAATTCAACTCTATTATTTCTAAGGTAAACTGCATCTTATATCACATTGTTACCAAAAAGGGGTCCCGATCCAGACCTCAAGAGAGAGTTCTTGGATCTCGTGCAAGAAAGAATTCAGGGTGGGTCCATAGAGTGAAAGCAAGTTTATTAAGAAAGAAAAGGAATAAAAGAATGGCTACTCTATGGACAGAGCAGCCCCATGGGCTGCTGGTTGCCCATTTTTATGGTTAATTCTTGATGATATGCTAAACAAGGGGTGGATTATTCATGCCTCCCCTTTTTAGATCATGTAGGGTAACTTACTGACATTGCCATGGCATTTGTAAACTGTCATGGTGCTGGTAGTTGTGTAGCAGTGAGAACGACCAGATGTCACTCTCGTCACCATCTTGGTTTTGGTGGGTTTTAGCTGGGTTCTTTACTGCAACCTGTTTTATCAGCAAGGTCTTTATGACCTGTATCTTGGGCTGACCTCCTATCTCATCCTATGACTTAGAATGTCTAGCCGTCTGGGAATGTAGGCCAGTAGATCTCGGCCTTATTTTATCCAGCCCCTATTCAAGATGAAGTTGCTCTGGTTGCAATGCCTCTGACAACATCAACTCTTTATTTTTGTAAGACACAACTAATAATTAGTAGCTTTCTTTTAGCTCCTTTGGAGTAAACTGTGGATTATAAGAAGTACCTGGGCCAGGCGTGGTGGCTCATGCCTTGTAATCCCAGCACTTTCGGAGGCTGAGGAGGGTGGGTCACAAGGCTAGGAGTTCGAGACCAGCCTGGCCAACATGGTGAAACACCGTCTCTACCAAAAATACAAAAAATTAGCTGGGCGTGGTGGTGGACAGGAGAATCATTTGAACCCTGAAGGCGGAGGTTGCAGTGAGCCAAGACCATGCCATTGCACTCTAGCCTGGGCGACAGGGCAAGACTCCATCTCAAAAAAAAAAAAAAAAGTACCTGGTACCTGGACTGGCTCTTTTGATCTTATTTCATTTTTCTATGAATCTGCAGACAACAGTTCAGCTCAGCTTAAATTATGTTATGGGCCGGTGCATTTAGTAAATTGTGTAAATCCATGCTGAATGATGCTAAGAGGCAACCCATGAAAATTTATGTAGCGAAACCTCATTTATTGTTGTAAAGACACTTGAATAAAATTCAAAGCCATGAATTTACAAACACTAAAATGGGGTAAAATCCAATTAAGAACATAATTTTACTCAATAACAACAAAAACCCCAAGGTTATTTTTTTAAAATTGTCAAGGAATTTGAATAAACATTTCTCTAAAGATAGACAAATAGTCAATGGATACAGGAAAAGATGGATGCTGAACACCACTAATCATAAGGGAAATGCGAGTCAAAACCACAGTGACGTATCAGTTCACATCATTAGCATGGATTTACTTAAAACAAAACAAAACATAATAAGTGTTGGCAAGGATATGGAGAAATTGGAGCCCTCTGCATTGTTGGTGGGAATCTAAAATGGGGCAGTAACTGCAAAAAAATGATATGGCCATTCCTCAAAAATTATACATAGAATTACAAAATGTTGCAGGAATCCTACTTCTGGGTATATAACCAAATTAAAAAAATAAGAACTCCAACACATATGTTGTACACCCTTGTCCATAGCAGCATTATTTGCATTAGTCAAAATGTGTAAACAACACAAATGTTCATCATAACAGATGAATGGATGAACAAGATGTGGTAAATGCAGACAGTAGACTATTATTCAGCCTCAAAAAGAAATTAGATTGTGACATATGCAACATGGATAAACCCTGAGGACATTGTGCTAAGTGAAATAAGCCAGGCACAAAAAGACAAATACTCTACAATTCCACTTACCTGAGTTACCTAGAGTAGTCAAAATCATAAGGACTGGAATTAGAATAGGGGTTGTCAGGAGATAGGGAGAAGGTGGAATGTTTGATGGGTGCAGAGTTTTAGTTTTAAAAGCTAAAATGTTCTGAAGGTAGATGATGGAGATGGTGACACAGCAATGCGATTATACCTAAAGCCCTCAAACTATACACTTAAAATGAATAAAATGGTAAATTTTATGTTGTACATCTTTTTCACCATTAAAACAAACTTTAAGAATCCACAATTTTATAGTACTTTCTTTACTTGTGGATTACATTAAAAGTAAAAATCTCAGTTTGTCATAGAGCAAGTGTATGGTATCAACACTCCATAATATCAGCAATAGTGAATGCTATCAATATGTAAGGAGGTCACATTATCCTACAAATTGTTTATGTGCTGCATATGTGTCAAAAACAGTATTTTGAAACAAATGTCAAATTTACAGCACATATGGGGAGCTCTAAACCTTGAGATCTTCTTCCTATCTCCATTAACAGAAGCACAATTAGATGCTGAGATTAGAATTCACTTGGACTTAAGTACAGGAAAAATAATAATAAAATAGAAGTTAATTTACAAGCAGTATTGTTTTAAGTCTATAATTTGTGTAAATATTTCAGAGGATATTTAGAAAAAAAGCCGCTTGGTAATGAGTTCCAATATGTCAAAGCAGAAATAAACACATATGTTCACAGTGTCTGGGAGAAAAATACAAATAAATTATTACAAAATGAGAAAAAGATTGATTGGATTGATACTCCTTGGAGCTGCCGTTTCTTTTTCGTTAATTCCATCTATTACATGAAGTTGCTTGAAACTCCTTAAAAGTCTGTTTAATATTAGCTTGTTGAATATTGTCATAAATGTTGTAAAGTTTGGTTATTGCTTTCTTCAGATCCATAACCTTGCTTTAATAACCCACATATATTTACATCCATTTAGCAGACACATTACATTGTGTCATTAAGTTACACAATGAGTATAATTGCTTTACTTCCTACTGATTCTCTCTTAGGTCTAAGTCATCAGAAAAGAACATTAGAACATTCTCACAGAGCCTTACAATCTGAAAACCCACTGCCTTTCGAAAGGATCAGGCAAGGTAAAAGTCTTTCTATCTCTCCCAACATCTTAATTATTTATCACCTTACTCTAAACAGGTCAGGGGATTTTTTGGAGATGCTCTGTCAATCTGACTTGAATCAGAAAAAAATCTCAGCACTTACTCTCAGGTACAGCAGAACAAATGGCCAAGAGCTGTTGAGAGCCCCAGGGAGCTTCACACCCTAATTAGGATATAAAAGGGAATTATTAGTCCACATTTGCACATTAAAAAATCAACTCACTAAAAAGAGTCTTCTCTTGGTTAGATTCTTCAAATCCTTTGGGTTCACCCCTTTGGTATATCTCCTGCTTCTTTTGGACATCCGGTTATTCTCACTCTCAAAAATCCTTTGCACCTCCTCAAGAGACCAAAGGGAAAGCATTATGTAAAATTGGAATTATCATTCTGGGCTTCAGTTGCAGTAAGCAATTAGATTAGATATGAACAGAACTTGAAACTGTTGGCAAATGACAATTTGAGAGGAGGTCATTTCCCTTGCCTTGATATCCTACCCCTATCATACACACACATACACCTTACCACCCTTGAGTGTTTTTCAAAAAACAACAACAAAAATAAACTCAAACAGCATTATTCACTATGTATTAATTCTTAAAAGTAATCTTTTCATCTAAGTATACATTGTCCCCATGAAAAACTTGAAATATCCACAGGGGAATACAGAACAGGGTCTCTGGGTTGGGGGGTGTGTAAATACAAATATTAGTGTAACCACCTAAAGAGTTCCTTCCATCCACTGCACAAAGCAGATCAATTCACAGAGACCATGGCATTGCAATAAAGAGAGTGTAATTGACATAAGGTGGGGCCACGCCAAGCAAAAGGCAAGAGTTATTACTCAAATCAGTCTCCCCAGAGGCCCAGAAGTTAGGAATTTTTCAGATAGTTTGGTTGGTAGGAGTCCAGCGAGTGGGGAGTACTGATTGGTTGGGTTGGAGATGAAATCATAGGGAGTCAAAGCTGTCTTCTTGCACTGTGTTGGTTCCTGGGTGGGGGCCATAGGACCGGTCAGCGAGTCCAAGTAGGGCCATCTGGTTTTCATAAATGCAAAGATCTAAAAAGACATCTCATAAGGCCAATATTAGGAATAGTGATGTTACCTGCAGGAGTAATTGAGGAAGTTGTAAATCTTGTGACCTCTGGAATAAATTATTTGTATTGTTAGTAATCATTTGACTACACCTACATCTTAGTAAAATTCAGGTCCCTCTCATCTTCTTAACTTGGTGGCCTTTCTTAGTTTTACAAGGGCAGTTTAGCTTTTGGAAAGTGCTATTATCATTTAAACTATATACTAAATTTTTTCCCAAATTAGCTTGCCCCATGCCCATGCATGAGCAAAGACAGCCAACCTGTGAGGCTAAAAGCAAGATGGAGTCAGTCATATCGGATTTCTCTTATTATCATAATTTTGCAAAGACAGTTTCATTAGTGGATTCCTTGGTCATTGTATCAGGTAACGTAACCTAGTTTGAATCTCAGGAGAACTTTGCAGGACTATGTGACTTTAGACAAGCCTCACAACCTCTCTCAATCTCATTTCCATTATTTGTAAAAGTTAAAACTGCAAATATTACCCAAATCTGTTCTTCCATTTAACACTGTAAGAGACATATGCAATGTTTGAATGTATAAGACAGAGACTGAGCTCTCAACCAGGTGACAGTCTAGACTTAGAGCTCATCAAATTCAAATGTGCATACATATCCCTGGGGAACTTGCAATACATGAATATTCCTGCAGAACACAGAGAAACCCTGATTAGGAATTGTTGAAATAGCTGATATTTCTCCTTCTAGATAAAAATTTGCAGTATATTATTCATTAAACAATTTGTTATGATCAATGTGTTCTGATAAAGAACGTGTGTATGTAATATTGTGAATGATATATTTGGTCTTCTTCCCAGTTTTCTAACATACAGCTCCTAAAATCCTTGGACTTTCAAGGGTGACGAGTGTTTTTTGCATGCTAATGAGATGACTGGTGGCTGGGGATCCCTAGATAGCTTCAAGATGAGGCTTGGTTACCAAAAAAAACAAGGCATGATTGGAGAGTTGGGACTTTCAGCCCCATACCTGAACCTCTGTGGAGAGGAAAGGGGCTGAAGGTTGAACTGATCACCAATGGCCAATGACGTTATCATTGGCTTCTGGATAGTTGAACACATGGATGTTTCTGGAGGGTGATAGGACAGGGAAGTTCTGCGCCCCTTCCCACATACCTAGCTCTGTGCAATGATTGTTCATCTGTATTCTTTATAATAAACCAGTAAACAGAAGTAAGTACTTGTTTCCCTGAGTTCTGTGAGGCTTACTAGCAAATTAATTGAACCCCAGGAGGGGGTGGTGGGAGCCTCGATTTATAGCCAGTCAGTCAGAAGCATAGACAAAATCTGTGGTTGCGACTGGCATCTGAATTGAAGGGCAATCTTGTGGGCCTGAGCCCTCAACTTATTGGATCTGATGCTATCTCTCGGCAGGTAGTGTGAGAATTGAATTGAATTAGAGGACACCTAACTTATGTCCTCTGGAGAATCTGCTGCAGAATTGATTGATTAGTGGTGGGGATGAATCTCCATACATTTTGGTGACCAGGAGTCACAGAAGTGTGCTGTGGTAAAAAACGGTGTGTTATTCTCAGAGTGTGATGTTAACTCAGAGTGTAATTATTAACATTTTAGGTCAGCTCTCTTCTGTATTGCCATAAAGTTGGAAAACTTCCTTTAGGCACTCCATGTAAAATGTCTCATATTGTGGCACCCACATGCCCACTACATGTTACAATGGCATACATTGGTGATCACTTAAATCCAAAGGGTGCTTTTAATTTTGTCTTTTTCAGAGATTTCCCTCTCTGTGAATACTGCCCTTGTTTATGTATACTATTCTCTCCAAATTATAAATCTGATATTACCATTTATCTTCTGAAGTCCCATTGTTACTACCCAATTATTCCTGCAGTATTTTCCAAACTTTGGCTAGGGAGGATACTCCGGGGATACCAGCTAGAAATGTTGTTGGTTTTACCGTTTTGACAGTTCTCCTCACACCCATAACTAGAAAGCTATAGTTTTAATCTAGTTTTGCACACTGAATTTCCAAAGATGTTGATTAGGTTTTAGAGCTAATAAAAGGCAGAACCAAAGCATTAGATTTGCTCTCCCTGACATGAAGCACAAGTTCCATTATCTACTGGCTCCAGCTGTCTTATTCAGGTTCCTCTCTCTTCCCACTTCTCCATACATTCACCATATGAAATTAATTGCACTTTCTTGAATGTGCCACACTTACAAAAATCTGAGCACGTTTCCTGGGCTTGGCATATATAGCCTTCCTGTGGTGTTCTGTTAGCTCACTCCTACTCATCTTCCAAGTCTCAAAAATACCTCGAGGCTATATTTTGGGTCCGTTTTCTGTGTATCTACCAAATTTTGTGGATAATTCTACTGTAACCCAAACCACAGTATACTTTAATCATAGACTTACGTTTTGGTGTCTTTTATGAGACAAAGAGCCCTTTGAAGGCAGGCATTCTGACTGGTTTTTATTTGTTTGTTGTCTTAATTCCTAGTGACTAACATCTTGCTGGGGATAGGGTGTGTGCTACTAAGTGTTTATGGAATAAATAAATAGAAATATAAAATATTTTATTTTTCTTTAATCTCTTTTAATGTATTATTGATGTTTCTGTATTTCCATTTCTCAAAGGCAAGATAACAAGCAAAACAAACACATACAGGCAAACAAATTCAGAAGACCACATCAATTTTGTTAGAGATAAAATAGAGGAATTAAATGAAATGACATGTAAATATTTGAAAGAATCTGATAATATTTTAAGATTCTCTACATTAACAATATTTTTAAGTTTTGTTTTGTTTTAAAGCTATTTAGACAATAGATGGGGAATCTGCTATTGCTTAAGAATGTTCAGCAGTTCTCTACATATATAACATACAAGAGTTCAACTTACTCCACATCCTTGTGTGCAATTGATACTCACAGTATTTTTCATGGCTTTTCTAATAGATGTGCAGTGGTATGGCATGTTTTTAACTTGCATATTTCTAATGACTAACAAATTGAACATCTTTTAAATATGCTTTTTTGACAACCATAACCCTTTTTGGTGAATTATCTATTCAAGTTTTTTGGCCATTTACTAATGACCCATTTGTTTTCTTCCTAGTTATTTAGTTTTGAGACTTTGTTATATATTCTGGATACAAGTCTTTAAGTCAGACATGTGATTTGAATATGTATTTTCTCATTCCATAGCTAATCATTTAATTTTTTAACAGTATCTTTTAAAAAATGTTAAATTAAAAAAAATTTTTAAGTTGGGTAAGATGATTCCTTTAACTTTATTATTTTTCTTTTCAAAGTTGTTTTGCTTCTTCTAGTTCCATTGCTTTCTGAAATAAATTTTAGAATGAGCTTCTCTAAGTCAATAAAAATATCTTGCTGGGATTCTATTGAAATTAAATTAAATTTGCAAAAAAATATGGGACGGATGACATTTTTACCAATTTGAGTCTCCAATCCATGAAAATGGTATGCATCTTTATTTATTAAGGTCTTCTTTGATTTGTTTCATGTGTCTTGAACTTTTCAGAATATAGTTTCTAAATCTGTTTTATAAATTTATTAATGAGTATTTTATTTTGGAGCTAATTTAAATCTTTTTTAGAAGTATTTTAAATATTTACATTTTTAAACTTACATCTATATTGATAAATTGCTTTGGTAGTACATTGAAATGTAGATTTTTGTGTTTTAGTCATGCATCTTCCACTTTGCTAAAGTCACTTAATAATCCTGAAAGATTTTATTATTTTATTGTTTTATTTTGTTTCTATGTTCCTTAGGATTTTCTACTTAGGCAATCATGTCACCTGCAAACAGTGGCAGTTTTAGTTCTTCATTCCAAATCTGTATGCCTTTTTAAAAGTATATCTCGTCTTTTTTTTTTTTTTTTTTTTTGAGACGGAGTCTCGCTCTGTCGCCCAGCTTGGAGGGCAGCGGCACAATCTCGGCTCACTGCAATCTCCATCTCCCAGGTTCATGCCATTCTCCTGCCTCAGCCTCCCAAGTAGCTGGGACTACAGATGCCCGCCACCACGCCTGGCTAATGTTTTGTATTTTTAGTAGAGAAGGGTTTCACCGTGTTAGCCAGGATGGTCTCAATCTCCTGACCTCATGATCTGCCCACCTCGGCCTCCCAAAGAGCTGGGATTACAGGCGTGAGCCAATGCGCCCGGCCTAAAAGTATATCTTGTCTTATTGCACTAGCTAGAGCTTCCTGTTTAATAGGAATGACATATTAATGGGACTAGACATCCTTACCTTGTTCTTGAACTTAGGGGGAAATAATTTTGTCTTTCATAATTAAGTATAAAGTTAGCTATAGTTTTTCTTGTAGGTGCCCTTGTAATAAGAATGCCACAGCAAATTTAGAAATGTCTAAATTTCTAATATCTACTGCCTAGATATTAGAAATAGAATACCAAATCTATGGCCAGAGATAAGAACTTAGAGACATCTTTCCCACCTAGCAGACTGGGCTCCTCGCTTTGCTGCTGCTTCCTCCAAAGGGGCCATTTAAGCATTTGCCTTCAAATTTAAAGTGACCCACATCCTATTCTCTATGTATGTATTTTGCTATTTGCAATGCTCTCTCTCTCACTCTCTCTCCCTCTTCCTGACACTTCATTCCTGCCTCATGTAACCTAGTAACCCTGAGGTTTGCCCTCCCAGCACATTGTGCCCTGCCGGCTCAGAATCTGTAGGGAAAAATATTTGAATGTTTTTTCTATTGTGGTAGTGTATTGAATTTTCACTTTCCATCTGAAGAACTAGGGGCCATCCCCAAGCTAGGTTTACCCTGGCATGTCAGGGAGAACACAAGGCAGGGCCCCAGTGCTAAAGCAACTGTTAGGCAGGCATAACTGGACACATATCAGACAATATGTTAGGCATGTAACTGGACACATACCAGGACACATGTCAGACAAGAGCCTCAAGGGCATCTGCCAACATAATCAAGTTTTCTGGGTGAGGGACCCCTGGTCATTAGCAGGACAACTAGGCGTTAGGCCATCAGTCAGGTAAAAGAAGTATTTCATGAAGGACACAGTAAACACACATGCTCAGCTTCTATTCATTTTTCGTTAAGACAGGGTTGCTAATCTCTCTGGCACTAGAATCCCATTTTAGCTTGTAGCTCTCAAAATAGGCTTTTATCAAGTTGAGGAAGTTCTATTTATAGTTTTCTGTGAATTTTCATTCAGATAGATGTTGAATTTTGTCAATTACTTTTTCTGCATGAATTTGTATGATCATGTGGATTTTCTTCATTAGACTGTTTAGATAGTGAGATTTTTTTTTCACATATTAAACAAGACTTTCATTCTTGTGAAAAACCACAGTTGGTTATAGGTTTATTTAAATATATATATTTAATCCTATATATAGAATTCTATATATACATAATTATATATATAGAATTCTGTTTTATCAATATTATTTATGTTATCAAATATTATTTATTCAGTAATATTTTGTAGGAGATTTTTGAGATTTTATGTACTGCATGGAAACCTGCTTTACGTGAATGGGATTTTGAAAGCAACTGTCGGCCAGGCGCAGTGGCTCATGCCTGTAATCCCAGCACTCTGGGAGGCTAAAGTGGGTGGACTACCTGAGGTCAGGAGTTCAAGACCAGCCTGGCCAACATGGTGAAACCTCGTCTCTACTAAAAATACAAAAAAATGCTAGGCGTGGTGGCAGACACCTGTAATCCCAGCTACTTGGGAGGCTGAGGCAGGAGAAACACTTCAACGCAGGAGTTGGAGGTTGCAGTGAGCTGAGATTGCACCACTGCCTGGGCGACAGAGCAAGACTCTGTTAAAAAAAAAAGTGTCAATATAAGGCTTTAATAAGGTAAATGATTGTTACTGCTTTCTTATTAAATTTTACTGTAATCCAATAACATAACATATAATTTCTATTATTTAAAAAATATTAAGATTAGTTTTATTACCCAAGATATTATCTTTCTCGGTGCATGTTCCATGTATACTTGTATGCATATTGTTTTGTTGTTCAGTCAAATGCTGTATAAATATCAATTAGAGTCAGTTGATCAGTGGTATTGCTCAGTTTTCTTATGCTAATATTGATTTTGTTAATATTAATTTTTCTTTTTACTAAGTGAAAGAATTTACATCTCTAATTATTGTGGATTAATCTATTTCTTTTTTCATTTTGGTCAGATTATGCTTGTATATTCTAAAGCTCTATAGAGAGGTATAATAATGTTTTATTCTTTCTTTTTTTTTTTTTTTTTTTTTTGAGACGGAGTCTCACTCTGTCTCCCATCCTGGAGTGCAGTGGCGCGATCTCGGCTCACTGCAAGCTCCGCCTCCCGGGTTCGCGCCATTCTCTTGCCTCAGCCTCCTGAGTAGCTGGAACTGCAGGCGCCCACCAACAGGCCCGGCTAATTTTTTGTATTTTGTAGTAGAGACGGGGTTTCACCGTGTTAGCCAGGATGGTCTTGATGTGACCTTGTGATCTGCCCTCCTCGGCCTTCCAAAGTGCTGGGATTACAGGCTGAGCTACCGCGCACGGCAATAATTTTTTATTCTTAGAGAATCGATTCTTTTATTATTTGCCATGCCTCTTTTTATTTCTAGTACTTTTCTTTGACTAGAAGTCTTCTTTTCTGATATAAAGGTAACTACTCCGTCTTTCTCGGGATTAGCATTGCATAGTATGTCTTTATTTTTTTTTCTGTTAGTTTTTTACTTTTATTTGACTTATAGCATTATATTTGGAGGGAATTTATTTTTTCTTTTCTTTTTTTTTTCTTTTGAGACAGAGTCTTGTTCTGTCACCCAGGCTAGACTGCAGTGGTGCAGCCTCAAACTCCTTGGCTCAGGTGATCCTCCCACCTTAGCTTCCTGAGTAGCTGAGATTACAGGCACGTACTACCATGCTACCATGCTTGGTTAATTTTTTTGTAGAGATGGGATTTCACCATGTTGCCAAGGCAGGTCTCGAACTCCTGGACTCAAGTGATCCCTCGCCTCGGCCTCCCAAAGTGCCAGGATTACAGACATGAGCCACTGTTTCTGACCTGAAGTGAATTTCTCATACATAGCATATGGTTGGGTCATATCTTTATTTTAGCATCCATTCTTGGGCTAGGCACAGTGACTTATTATGCCTGTGATCCTAACACTTTGGGATGTCAAGGTGGGAGGATTGCTTGAAGCCAGGAGTTTGCGAACAACCTGGGAAACACAGGGAGATTGCGTCTCTACCAAAAAATTTTTTTTAAAAAGATTAGCCAGGTGTGGTGGTACATGCCTGTAGTCCCACTTACTGGCGAGGCTGAGGTGGGAGGGTCACTTGAGCCCAAGAGTTCAAGGATGCAATAGGCAATGATTGTATTACTACACTGCAGCCTGAGTGACAGAGTGAGACTATGTTTCAAAACAATAAAAAAATTAAAAATTTAAAATAAAAATAAAATAAAATTGATCCTCACAATCTCTTTCTTTTGTTATATTTAGATACTTTACATTTTTGATATGTTTGGATCAAATCTATAATTTTATTACTGGTTTTCTGTGTTATCTCTTTTTTTCTTTCTACTTTCCTACATTTTTGGAATATTTTAATATTTTTAGTATTGCCAATTAATTTTTCTATTGATTATAACTTTTTAATGTTTTTTAAAACTATTCTAATGATTACAATATAGATTCTTAATATTTTTACAGTATAGTTAGTATCAACATGTTATAACTTCAATTGAGATATCAAAACCTCACCACCGTACAGATGACTTTACTTTCCTCTTTGTTATAATTTTTATATCATAGCTATATAGATATAGAGAGAGAAAACCTTATCAAATAATATTGTCATTTTTGCTTTCTTTTTTTACATTTTTATTTTTAGAAGATAAAGATGAGATCTCACTATGTTGCCCAGGCTGTTCTCAACCTTTTAGGCTCAAGTCATCCATCCACCTCAGCTTCCCAAAGTTCTGGGATTACAGACATTAGGCACTGGGCCTGGCCCATTTTTGGTTTCAACTGTCAAACATTTTAAAGAACTCAAAGGAGAAGAATGGTTTATTATATTTACCCAAGATATTTATCATTTTGTTGCTCTTTCTTTATTCCTAACATTCTAAGTTTCCTTCTGATATTATTTCTTTCTATAGAGAGTACATCCATTGCTGATAATTTGAGAGCAAGACTGATGGTAACAGATTCTGTCAGTTTTTCTTAAACTGAAAATGCCTTTATTCAGCTTCACTTCTGAAATATAATTTTACTGGACATAGCATTCTGGGTTGACATGTTTTTTCTGTTTTTTTGTTTCTTGTTTTTCTTTAACCACTATAAAAGAGTAGTCACTTTTTTAAGCCTCCTAGGTTTGCGATAAGAAATCTTTATTCATTGGGACTGTTCTTCCTTATAGTTTATTTTCCTGTGGCTATATAAAAAGTTTATTTCATTGTCTTCAGTTTTCAGCAGTTTGAATATATTTCAAGGCATGTATTTTTGGAGGACTTACTTAGATTTCACTGAGCTCCTTGAATCTGTGTGTTTATTTCTCTTCATTTTTTTTTTTAAACATCAAACTCTTTCCTCTCTTTTTCTGGGGCTCTGATGACATGAATATTGTATTTTTGTGTTATTGTGCCACTGATTTCTGAGGAAAAGTTTATTTAGGAAAATTAAAAATATATATATTATAATTACACTTTGAAAATAATAGCTTCACAGTCAATATGGAAACGTCACTGGATTAAATGATTCATTTGGTAACAAGTAGAAAGCAAGAGCTGAAACATCAATATGTGGAATTAAGGAATGAAGTGGACATTTCTGGGAACCAGGATAGGAGTACATAGGAAATAAGCAATAACAATCTGGTAATTTAATCTTCCTCGTAGCTGTTGCCATGTTATAAGTGAATGTTTATGGTACTATGTATGGCTGCCAAAGATGAGTTATGCATGCAAATCAGTTAAATATTAATTACTTTAGATTCATAGTATGCTTTGAACAAATCTTTGAGTGGTGTTCCAAAAAGTAACAACTTTTAGAGGCAAAATAAATTTTTAAAGTGATAATGTAAACACAAATTTATGGATAGTACAGTTATCCTTTCTAGGAGTCCTGCATGTTATCTTATTCAAATACAACTCAATAATGTTCACTGGGATTTCTCTGTGTTTGAATACTCACTATGTAATGTTAATCTTTTAGAGAATAAATGCAAAAAGAATATATGAATGTGCTGTGAAATACTCTAACATAAAATTAGAAACTGATCTAAAATCTGAAGTAGAAAAAGCAGTTCATATTTTTATGGAAAAATTAAAATTAAGACAAGTAGACAAAAATATTTTTCATTAAAAAAGTAAAGGTTTATTGAAATAACATATATCCTCAAACATGAACATGATTTTGGGTGAATTTATAGTAATTCAACCAGCATCAATGCAAAATGAAAGGAATTTTTCTGTCTGGAAATTTTGTTGTAGAAAATAAATTAAGGCTATGAGATGGTCTTTGTGCATTTTGAACTTTCAATTTTAAAGATAATAACTTTTAAATATTAATTATCTCTGCTATTATATTTTAAGTTTAATTTACTTTATTTTGCATTCATTGAGTGATAAGTTTCCCTTCTTTCATATTTTTTATTATTAAATATTTATATTAGGCAGCATTCATTTTACATACTATTTAAATAATCTTATCATATTTGTTGATAATAAAAACCATGTATATATTCTATATATTTTTTGACAAAATCTCCCCTGAGATATTTAATACAATCCTGTCACAAGAAGATTCACTTTTTTTTAACTGCTCATTATATTATTTTAAGATATATTTTTAAATGCTATGACAATACAGAATGTATGATTTCAGAAATTCGTGAATATTCCTGGGAATTCTGATCTCTCGTTATCAAATTCCAAAGATTAATATCTTTTAGGAATTTGGAATCACTAAGCGAATTCTAGAGATTTGTTATAGAATCCCAAGGAATCTAAGAAGCAGAGAGTGAAAACATGTAAACCTGGTGCTCCTAAGGACTTTGTATATTCAGGGTTTTCAATCTTAATTCTAACCTCATCTACATGCGGAGTGAGGAAGTACTCCACATCTAATCATTATTTTATGTTTATATTGGGAAACAATTGTCCTTAACTTAGGACAACATTTCTTTTTGTAGCTTTTGAGATTTATATTTCTGTTGGGTGTTAAAATTTCAAAGGTGAGTAACTATTTACATGAGGGCCAATTGGTTTAAAGAAAGCCTGACAGTTGGAATAAGTCTGTTGAGACTTAAGATATTTTAAAAAGGAACAAAACAAAAGAAAACAACAACAAAAAACAAACAAACAGAAAACCCCTCTCCTTCTGCCAGTTTTAACAATGACAAATCCTGCATTGATTTCTGAATTAATTTACTTTTTGAGTTTACAGGTGTCATACAGAAAACCTACATTACATGAAAAAAGATTTAAGAGCAAAAGTTGATATAAAGGTTTCAAAGTAAGGCACATGGAACCAGAAAACACAAGTAAAGTGAAGTGCACTTAAGTTGTTGGTAAAATATTTGCTCTTGTTTAATAGCCGGTGAATGGATCCTCTCACCTACGTTATCTGACTTGTTGTATAGGTTCCAGCTGACTAATTTCTCTTCTGGGAAAGAGAATGTATACTATGTGAAATAAATTTTCAGAAAAGTGAAACCTGATGTTTACCTGAAATAGCCCAATTTCTTTATTTTTCTGCACACCGAATTTCCTGCTTTTTATCCTTTCCAGAACAGAAAATTTTATGAAGAGGGGAAATTAGAGAGAACTAGAAAATAATAATTCTTTGTTCCTTATGTCATTAAGAATCTCTAAAGAGAAAAGATACAAATCCAATGAAAAGCTGCTCAGAAAAAGGAGACTTATCTCTTTGAAATCCTGATTTCAATTCTTTTGGGCACATACCAGAATTGGGATTGCTGGATCATATGGCAATTATATTTTTAATTTTTAAAGAATTTCCATCCTGTTTTCCATAGTGGCGGCACCATTTAACATTCCCACCAACAGTGCACAAAGCTTCCTAATTTCTCCACACCCTGACCAACACTTGCTCTCTCTTATCCTTTTAATCATAGTTGTTCTACATGTTAGGTGATATCTCATTGTGTTTTAATTTGCATTTCCTTGATGACTATAATGTTGAGCACCTTTCCATGTACCTATTGGCCATTATTATGTCTTCTTTACACTCCTGCGTTCAATGAAGCTTTATACACAGTGGTCAAAATGTGGAAATAGACTAAATGTTCAGTGACCGATGAATGGATAAATAGATGTGGTATAAACATACAATGTAATATTATTCAGCCTTTAGAAAGAAGAAAATTCTGCCTCATGTGACAATATGGATGAACCTTAAGGATGTTATTCTCAATGAAATAAGACAGACGCAGTAACACAAATACTGTGATTCCACTTATATAGGATACCTAGAGTAGTCAAATTCAAAGAAGCAGAGAATAGAATAAAGGTTGCTAGAGTCTGTGTGGAAAGTGGTAGGGGTAGTTGCTATTCACTGGATAGAAAGTTTTAATTATGCAAGATGAATAAGTTCTAGTGATGTGCTGTACAATACTGAGGCTACAATTAACAATACGGTATTGTACACCTAAAAATTCTTTAAGTGGGTACATCTCATGTTAAAGGTCCTTACTACAATTAAAAAAAAAAAAGAAAAAGGAATGGTATATAACCAATAGAAAGGAGAGTCCCATGCAAGTCAGGGCACACTATTTGTACATCTTGTAAATAGAGTACTTGGAGTTGTTTGTGGTTGTAATAGAATAGGAGAGATGGGGAAATACAGTTTTAATAAACATTGTGATACGTAAAACAAACACACTTTGATGCACTTTGATATAATAATGTCAATTTAAAAACTTTCTATTACTGTATTATGTTAATGTAATTTCATTAGACAGGGCTAGAATTGGGCCACATAAATTTTCTCTGCTTTTATAAAGGTTATATCAATTTGATGAATATATATAAACATCTGCCCACTCCCCCAGTAAAACAAACCTATAGGATAAACCCCAGCCTCTTTCTTGAAAATTCTGCCAATGTAGTTCCTACTAATGCTGTATGACTTATATTATTATCATTTCCAGGAAGAAATTTCTGTCATCATTTTGAGAGGTGAAGCTGGCTGGGCTTCTGATTCAGGTGGGGACTTAGAGAACTTTTTTTGTCTAGATAAAGGATTGTAAACGCGCCAATCAGTGCTCTGTGTCTAGCTAAAGGTTTGTAAACGGGCCAAGCAGCACTCTGTAAAAACGCACCAATCAGTGCTCTGTTTCTAGCTAAAGGTTTGTAAACTTACCAATCAGCACTCTGTAAAAATGCACCAGTCAGCCCTCTGCAAAATGGACCAATCAGCATTCCGTAAAATGGACAATCAGCAGGATGTGGGCGGGGCCAAAAAGGGAAGAAAACGTGGCCACAGGGGCCAGCAGCTGCAAGCAGCTCCTTCCCTTCCATGCTGTGGAAGCGTTGTTCTTTTGCTCTTCACAATAAATCTTGCTGCTGCTCACTCTTTGGGTCCGCACTGCCTTTATGAGCTGTAACACTTACTCCAAAGGTCTGCAGCTTCATTCCTGAAGTCAGCGAGACCACGAACCCACCAGAAGGAAGAAACAACATCAGATGCACCACCTTTAAGAGCTGTAACACTGACTGTGAAGATCTGCAGCTTCTCTCCTGAAGTCAGCGAGACCACGAACCCACCAGAAGGAAGAAACTCTGGACACATCTCAACATCTGAAGGAACAAACTCCAGACACACCATCTTTAAGAGCTGTAACACTCACCGCGAAGGTCCGCGGCTTCATTCTTGAAGTCAGCGAGACCAAGAACCCACCAGAAGGAATAAATTCCAGACACGATTTCACCTACACTCTTACTACTTCTATATGCATCCATTATTTCAGTCTTAACTTTGATCACGTTAGATGCACGATTTCATGATCAGTGATTTCTGCTGTTTTGCACTCTCTTTTCAACCTCTGAGGTAGCGGTTGGCCTGCGGTGGAGAAAAGTACCCATAAATATATTTTAAATACATACATAAATATATTAACAAGCTAAGGTAGTGAAGACGAGTGACATGGAAGACTATTTGTAGTCAGGTATCAATTTTTAGGGATGAGAGTCTAAAAGAAATTATGTCACTTTGAAAATAAAAGCGGAAATGAGAGTGGTACAATTGACAGCATTTTCTCTTCCAGTTCCCCACTTAATAATGCACCCAGATTGAAAAGGGTCTCAAGAAATATATGGAACTGACACAGTGTAAGAGAAGTTAGAAAAAAGTTCTGTATGCAAGATAAAGTCCTTGGTGTCTGAGGGACATAAGCAGAAAAAGATCTAGAGAGGTCTAATAACTTGATATGATATTCAAAGAAGCAGACATGGGCATATAGTCATATAGTTTGGAGTTTTCACCAGGACTTTTTCTTACTTTCTTGAGCATCTGCTTTATTTCTTGTAATATGAATATGTATGTCATACTTCGCATAATAATTTCTAATCACTTGTCACCGACATCTTCTCTTCTTTGTGGTATATCTGTTGTTAAATGACATACTCCACTATATATACTTTGTATTTTTGATTTTTCCCTCATATCTTAATTATTTTTCATCAATAGCACTAAAGTAACATTTATTAAAATAGAACTTTATTGTTGGATATATAGTTCCCTGCCCCCATCACAACTGCCAATACACTTAAATTCTTCAAAACTTCCTTATTTAGACTATCAAATTTGACCAAAAAAAAACACTTTTAAATATTCTAGGTTCAGGCAAAATTAATATTTTACAACAGGCAAAATTAATATTTTACAATGATAAAGTATGAAGATAAAAATACCCTGTTTACTCACTAATTTAAATTCAGCAGGCTATTTTTTCATAAAAAGAAGAAGAAAAAGAGAAAAATGTAAGTTCTCATTGCTTCCCACTGGCTGTATTTACTTAATTTCATGCACTTAATATTTTTTTCATCGTTGGTATTCACTATAATTAGCTGAACAAGATGCTTGAAATAATACATTTTAAATAGGAACAATTATATAAAAGTGCTTTTTAAAATTAATTGAAAGCCTAATATAGCAATTGTCGACTGTGTTGCTAGATATGTTACTAAGGACACTGTGGTTTAAAAACAGAAGTTTGGAAAATGCTAAATTACATAAAGTTAAATGGTTATTCAATGGTGAGATTTTCTAGAAATTATTGGTATACAGGAATCCTTAAATGATCTATTAAGCAGAATTTATGAAAAATGTGTTACTATGTATGTTTTATTTTGTTATTAATTTGTAATGCTCTATCTGTGTGGGTACCAGATAGTAATTGTTTGTTATTTATTTACTTTTTTCAAGTTAATTGGAAAATGAAACCTAAGTTTTGCATTTGCATTCAGTGAAGGCAAACTGAGATCTCTGTATTTTGTAATAAGGAAGATTTCACTGCAATTTAAACATAGAAAAGTGGCTTACAACCTGAGTCATCACAAGGTTCACATAGCATAGTCATGCAGAATTCAAAGAAAAATGCCTGTATCATGCACTCAGTCGAAAACAGGAGTTAAACTACTATACATAACCTCATCCTTCACATGAGATTAATGATCTATTTGATAAATATTTAATTTGTATAAATTTATGGGGTTTTATGTATAAATTTGCATAAATTTATGGGGTACAAGTATAATTTTTTTAAATGCACAGATTATGTAGTGGCTAAAGTCAGGGCTTTTAGGGTATCCATCACCCAAATAATATAAATTGTACACCTTAAGTGATCTTTCATCATCCACTCCCCTCCAACCCTCTCACCATTCCACTCTATCATGTCTATCCATTTGTATCATTTCTATCCATTTCTATTATTCCACTCTGTACATCCATGTGTATACATAATTTACCTCCTACTTAGAAGTAAGAACATGCAGTATGTGTCATTCTGTGTCTGATTTGTTTCACTTAAAATAATGGTCTCCAGTTCTATCTGTGTTGCTGTAAACAACATAATTTCATTATTCATTATAGCTAAATAGTATTCCATTGTGTATATATGCCACATTTTTAATCTAATCATTCATTTATGAACTCTGGTTGATTCCATATCTTTAGTATTGCTAATAGTGTTGTAATAAACATACAGGTGCAGGTATTTTTTAGATATAATGATTTCTTTTCCTTTGGATAGATACCCAGCAGTAGGATTTCTGGATCAAATGGTAGGTCTGTGTTTAGTTCATTAAGAAATGTCCATACTCTTTTCACAGAGGTTGTACTAATTTACATTTCCATCAACAGTGTATAAGAGTTCCCTTTTCTAACATGATAGGTGATATCTCATTGTGTTTTAATTTGTATTTCCTTAATGATTATAATGCTGAGCACCTTTCCATATACCTGTTGGCCATTATTATGTCTTCTTTAAACTCCCGTGTTCATTGAAGCTTTAAACACAGTAGTCAAAATATGGAAATAGACTAAATGTTTAGTGACAGATGAATAGGTAAACAAGATGTGGTATAGACATACAATGGAATATTATTCAGCTTTTAAAAAGAAGAAAATTCTGCTGCGTGTGACAATATGGATGAACCTTAAGGATGTTATTCTCAGTGAAGTAAGACAGATGCAGAAAGACAAATACCATAATTCCACTTATATAGGATACCTAGAGTAGTCAAATTCCTAGAAGCAGCGAACAGAATAAAGGTTGCTAGAGTCTGTTTGGAAAGTGGTATTGGTAGTTGCTATTCACTGGATAGAAAGTTTTAGTTATGCAAGATGAATAAGTTCTAGTGATGTGCTGTACAATACTGAGGCTACAATTAACAATACTGTATAGTACATTTAAAAATTCATTAAGAGGGTACATCTCATGTTAAAGGTTCTTACTATAATTTTTAAAAAAGAAAGAAAAAAGGAAGGATACATAACCGATAGAACAGAGAGTCCCATGCAAGTCAGGGCACACTATTTGAACATCTTGCAAATAGAGTACTTGGAGTGGTTTGTGGTTGTAATAGAATAGGAGAGATGGGGAAATACACTTTGGTTGATTCCATATCTTTAGTATTGCAAATAGTGTCATAATAAACATACAAATGCAGGCATCTTTTAGATACAATGAGTTTCTTTTGGGTAGCTACCCAGCAGTGGGATTGCTGGAACAAATGATAGTTCTATGTTAGTTCATTAAGAAATGCCCATACTGTTTCACAGAGGTTGTACTAATTTACATTTCCATCAACAGTGTATAAGAGTTCCCTTTTCTTTCTATGCCCACAAACATCTGTTATTTTTGTCTTTTTAATTATAACCATTCTGACTGGTGTAAGATGATACTTATTGTGGTTTTGATTTTAATTTTTCTGATGATTAGTGATGTTGAACATTTTTATATTCATATTGGTCATTTTATGTCTTATTTTGTGAAATGTCTATTCATGCCCTTTTGTCCACTTTTTAATGGGATTATTTTGTTGTTGTCGAGTTGTTTGACTTCCTTGTAAATTCTGGATATTAATCCTCTATCAGTTGCATAGTTGTAAATATATTCTTCTCTTCTGCAGGTTGTCTGTTTAATCTGTTGATTATTCTTTGATGTGCAAGAAAGCTTTTTAGTTTAATTGAGTCTCATGTGTCTATTTTTGTTTGTCTTGCCTGTGCTTTTGATGTCCTTGTCATGCATTCTTTGCACAAACCTGTGTCCAGAAGAGTTGTTCCCAGGTTTTATCCTAGGATTTTTGTAGTTTTAGGTCTTATATTTAAGTTTTTAATCCATCTTGCATTGATTTTTGTTTATGGTGAGAGATAGGGGTCCGAATTAATTTTTCTGCATCTGGTGGCCCAATTTTCCTGGCACCATTTATTGAAAGGTTGTCCTTTCCCAAGTGTATGCTCTTGTTTATTTCATCAAAGATCAGTTGGCTATAGATATGTGGGGTTTTTTTCTGTGTTATCTATTGTGGTCCATTAATGTATGTGCCTATTTTTATACCAGTACCAATATGTTTTGATTACAACAGCCTTTTAGTAGAATATGTCAGAAAATGTGATATCTTCAGCTTTTTTTCTTTTTGCTAAGGACTTTTTTTGCTATTTGGGCTGTTTTGTGGTTCTATATGAATTTTAGGATTTTTTTTTCTAATTCTCTAAAAAATGACATTAGTATTTTGAAAGATTTATTTGCACTGAATCTGTAGATTGCTTTGGGCAATATGGTCACTTTGACGATATTAATTCTTCTAATCCATGAGCATGGGATGTCTTTTCATTTGTTTGTATCACCTATAATTTTTTTCATTCAGGTTTTGTAGCTATTCTTGTAGGGACTGTTAACCTTCTTGATTAAATATATTCCTAGATTTTTTTTGTTGTTATCGTAAATGGGATTGCCTTCTTGAGTTGCTTCTTAGCTGGATCATTATTGATGTATAAAAACACTAGTGATTCTGGTACTTTGATTTTATATTCTAAAACCTTACTAAATTACTTGATTAAATCTAAAATATTTTGGTAGAATCTTTAGGTTCTCCTAGATATAAAATCATATTATTCACAAACAGAGATAATTTGACTTTCTCTTTTCCAATTTGGATGCCTTATATTTCTTTTTCTTACTTGATTACTCTGACCAGAACTTCCAATAACATATAGAATAGAAATAGTAAAAGCGGGCATCCTTTTCTCCTTCATATTCTTAGGGGAAAAGCTTTCAACTATTGCCTATTCAGTATGATGCATAATTTTGTTTTATCTATGATCCTGTTTCACTTTTAAAGTTTTATAATGGCTATTAAACTTTTATACCTGAAATTATGTTCACATATATTTAATAACTAAATCAACTAATGGGCTTTAAGGTTGTTTTTTTTCCTCTTTCAGTGAGGAATAATTTTGTTATTCAAGTTTTAGAAGCTATGTCAGCTGATAGACATAACATAAAGCTGCATTTGTTCAGTGATGTTTTGGTTTCCTAACTATTCATTTAGAAATAACAAAACATTTGTGCTATTTAAACTTATGTCAGGAATAAAAATAAGTGAAGAGTTATGATCCCAAACTATATTAGCCTCCAAAAATCTTACTTATTAAAATAAAAAATTTCACTCTATTATTATACAAGTTTCTTAAGAACAAAACTATGATGTTATCACAGAACAAATATAGATTTTAGCAGTTTCTAGTGAATGTTACTGATACTTTAAACCATCCCTTTTTGAATTTCCAAAATTTTATAATTGCATATATTTAATTTTATTTTAAAATATTTTATGGGATTATATATATTCAGAGACATAAAACCTCCTCAAGATTAGAAGTACATAAACATTGAAAATAGTGTAGAAATACCTGCTCTGATATTTATTAATTTTATGACACTAAGCAAATACTAAAAATATAAATTAAAAAACTTCTTAAAAGACTTCTCTGAAATTACATGAAACTATGCACTTATGTTAACTTTTTCCTCTCTTACTAAATATCCCTTATTCAAATTTAATGGTTACAAAAAATAATCTATTTTATATATATTCTTCTGTGGACTTTAATCTCAAATCTGTTTCCTTTCAAATCTGTTTCCTTTGAGAAGAGCACGTAATAATATGCATCAAGGAAGAAATGTATAAGCTCTACGTCTTACCTAAGGATATATTATGTGGAAAATAGTTTTTTTATGAGACTGTATCCCCTCATGCTTTTATGGGATAAATATTGTTTTTCCATTACAAATGTCTTTTGAATGGATTTGATGTTCAAATAAATATTAAACTTAATTCACATACAATGCACATTGTGAAGGTTATGAGTAAGAATTCAAGAGAAAACTTTTTTAGAATAATGCTCAAATGAGTTCATTGTCAGAATATATTTTTCTTCTCACTTAGATCATAGATTTCTAAAAACTAAGAACAATAATCACTTATGTGTTCCAGTATTTTTTATTCTGTGGTATATAATGTATGTCAAAGTTAAGAAATAGGGATAAAAACACTGAGTGTTACTGGCTATTTAACCTATTATGGATGTATTTATTTACAACCTCTTTATAATTTTGCTTGGAATTAATTCATGAATTAATTCACCATTCCACCCAGTATTCTAGAGAAAAAAGAATGGTCTCTGTAGACCTCTGAATGTAGTCACTTATTTGATGAGTTTGCATTGAAACAAATCATTATATCTTCAGTTATTTATGGTATTATTATCATCCTCAATTTATTTAAGCGAAAGATAGCATTACTATGTGCTAGTCACTGCGTAATAGCACTTCATGCACTGATATTATTTTATCCTCAGAAAAATTTCACTGAATATTACCAGGCTCATTTTATACTCAAGGTAACTAAAGCTTAAAAGGTTAAGGGAAATCACTGTTTATGCAATAATTAAGTTGTGAATCTGGATTTATTTGCCATCCACAGTCTTGATTATTTTAAAAGCCAGACAGCTGTCCATTGTGACTATCACAGATGTCCTGAGCCTCTTAGTCTCTTCTGTTTTTTTGAAAGTTCAAATTTAAAGCCTCTTTGACTTGGTTTAGGGAGATTCATCTCACTTTGTTAAAACAAACGAACAAACAAACAAACAAAATAACCTCTTTTAACTGACACTTATTATTACCCTCCCCACCTCCTTTTTTTTTATACTTAACATAAAGCCTTTCAGTTACAGGCTGACCTCAGAAATACATGCCCATGACCTTGCTGGTTGAATCCTGCCTGTGGAGGATATTCACAATCATTCAAAAGTTGTCCTAAATAAATGTATCCTATTCAAACCTGCTCCCCTAAGGACACTGATTTCTTTCTGGAGCTTCTGCACTCCTGATAAGACACTGCCAGGAGCTGAGCTGCAGAGGAAGGTTTCCTGCAGTAGCACATCTAAAGGTAGAGAAATCAGGGACAAAAGCCAAGAGAATATAGGTGAAGGTCACTGCAAGAAAAATTTTCAAGACCACATCTAAAAATTATGTTGCAATAGATAAAGCCTATCTAATCCTTACACACTATCTCTATCTCTCTATCTATCTCTCTATCTATCTATCTGTCTGTCTATCCATCCATCCTTCCTTCCACAGTGCTGATTAATTTTATGGCTACATGGTGCCCAGATTTGGTCAAACGTTATTCTGGGTGTGTCTGTGGAGGTGTTTCTGAATGAGATTTACATTTAAATCGGGCACCTTTGAGTAAAGCAGATTGTTCTCTCAGTTGTGAATGGGCTTCATCCAATAAGCTGATGGTCTAAACAGGACAAAATGGCTGACTTTCCCATTATTAAAAAGCCTGTCAGATGCCTTGGACATTGTTGTTTTTTTCTCTCTCTTTTTTTCCCCTCAATTTTAATTTATTGTGGTAAAATACACATAACAAAATGTACCATCTTAGCCATATTAAGCGTATAGTTCAATGGTACTAAATACAATCATAATATTGTGCCACCATCAGCACCATCCATCTCCATAACTTTTTTGTTCCTCTAAAACTAAAATTTATACTCATTAGACAAGAACTCCTCATTTTCTCTATCCCCTTCTAGCTCCCCTCTGGCACTTGCCATTCTACTGTCTGTCTCTATGACTGTGATTGATCTAAGTATCTTATGTAAGCAGAATCATAAACTATTTCTTTTTTTGTGACTAGTTCATTTCACTTAGCATAATGCCCTCAAGGTTCATTCAGGGTGTAGCATATGTCAACATTTCAATCTACTTGTGTTTTTAGATCTAAGATGAGTCTCTTGTAGAGAGAATATAGTTGGATCATTTTTTAAAAATTCATTCTGCCAATCTCTTTTGATAGGACAGTTTAATCCATTTACATCAAAATTAATTACTAATAAGGAGGGACTTATTTCTGTCATCGTGCTAACTGCTTTCTTTATGCTTTATAGTTTTTTGGTCTTGTATTTTCTGCATCACTCTTTGTTTTTCCTGTGTGTTTGCTATTTTGCAGCGCAACATTTAAATTCTTTTGTCTTTTTTGTATATATTTTACAGATAGTTTCTTTGTGGTTACCATGGGGATTAAATCTCACATCCTAAAATTATAAAACTCAAATTTGAACTTATATCAGCTTAACTCAAATAAAAAACAAAACTCTTCTTTATAGCTCAATTACCACCACTTTCAGTTGTTGATATCTCAAAATTATCTTTATACATTGTGCAAAAAAGCATAAACTAGCAATTATTTTGAATATATTTATCTCTTAAATTATATGGCAGACAAAATGTAAAGATTTAAACCAAAGTTACACTAATACTAGCTTTTAAGCTATTTTTTAATATGTTAGTCTCTTAAATTGTATTAAAAATGCAGTTACAAACCATTTAAAAATAATGCTAGATTTTATAATTGCCCATAATACTAGATTTTATAATTGCCCATTTACTTTTATTGAGATATTTATTTTTTTATACAGCTTCAAATTAATTTCTAGTGTCCTTTCATTTTTCTCTGCAGGATATTTTTGAGTGTTTCTTACAGGTCATCTCTAGTGTTAATTAACTCCCTCAGCTTTTGTTTATCTGTGAATATCTTAATTTTTCCATCACTTCTGAAGGACTACTTTGCCACATTCTTGGCTGTTTTTTTTTCTTTCAACACTTTGAAAATATGGGCTTACTACATTTTAGCCTCAAGAGTTTCTGTTAAGAAATATGCTGATAATCTTATTGAAAATCCCTTTTACGTGACAACTTGCTTCTTTCTTGTTGCTTTCAAGATTCTCTTTTTGAACTTTTCTTTCAAAGATTTGTTTATAATGTGTCTTGGTGTGGGTCTCTGACTTCCTCTCACTTGGACTTTGTTCCACGTATTGGTTATTTATATTCATGTCTTTCATTAAGTTTGGGAAGATTTTCGTCATTATTTTTTTAAATATTGTCTTTGCCTTTTTTTCTCTCTATTCTCCCTCTAGGATGTCCACAAAGCATAACTTGTTTTCTTGATGGTGTCTTATAGGTACCATTGGCTCTGTACACTTTAATTTTGTTTTTTTTTCTGTTCCTCAGACTTAATTATTTCCATTGTTTTATCTTCAAGGTCACTGATTTTTGATCTGCCTATTTATATTTGCTTTTGAATCCCCGTAGAACATTTTTTATTTTGGTTATTAAATTTTTCAGCTCCAGAATATTTTGTTCCTTTTCATGTGTTCTCTTTATTAATATTCCCAATTTTGTTTATATATCATTTTCTTGACACTCCTCTCAACTTCCTTTAGATTTTTAAGCCTTTTTAAGACAATTGTTTAAAGTCTTTCATATATCTGCCATCAGGTTTTCATGAAGCAATGTTTCTATGAGTTTAATTGTTTTTCCTTTGAACGTACCATAATTTCCTGCTGCTTCTATGCCTTGGGAGTTTTTGTTGAAAACTGGACATTTTGAATCTAATAATGTGGTATCTCTGGACATTAGAGTCTTCTCTTTCCTTGAGATTATCTGCTATTTGTTATTTGTGTGTTTGTTTGTTTTATTGTTGAAAGCTCTCTCTGTGCAAGGATTTAGGTATTTTCTGAGCCTGTGCCTTTTTCTGGGCTCTGTTGTCACTTTCTAATTTTGACAGCATATACGGTTCCTTTCCAATGTCCTTGTCTTCACTATGTGGCTCTTAAAAGGGAAAAAGAAAAATGAAGTGGGATGGAGAAGGGCGTCATCCCTTTAACTTCCCTAGAAGTTACTTCAACTGAAGTAGAAGGGGTTTGCCACAATGAAGGCAGCTGTAAAAGCAGTGACCACCCACCTCTTTTGTCTGTATCTGCGATCAGAAGCAGCAATCAGTCATCAAAACACAGATTTCTGATTTTTGAAGGACAGAGTTCTTTTTACTTACACCATGTGCAGTCTGCTCCAGAAATATGTGCACAGCTGCCTACCATGGGGCTGGTTGTGGCAGATGAGTAGCTGCTTCTGTGCTTATAGCTAAAATAAACTGAAACTAACCACAATTTACTATTGAGTTATTACCCTGGAAGTTGCAAGGTGTCAATGAACTTCAGAGTTTCAACATAGTTACATCAGACAGACTCTACCAGTTTAATTGTTGTTTAGGTGGGGAGACAGATAATCTGGTGCTTCTTAGTCCATCCTAGAATTATCTCCTTAGGACACTGGTATTTTTCTGCCTTTGGACTCCAAGTGAAACACTGACTCTTCCTGGGTCTCAAACCTGCCAGCCTGAAGGCTGGAACTTCACCATCAGTTCTCCTGGGTCTCCAGTTTGCTGAATGCATATCTTGGAACTTGTCAACTTTCATAGTCATGTGAGCCATTTTCCATGTAATAAGCCTCTCTCTCTCTCTCTTTCTCTATTTATATATAAAAATTATATTGATATAAAGATATATTTATCTCTCTATTTATATAGTTGTTGCTGTTTTTCTTTGGTTCTCTTTGTCTGTAGTACCCTGACTAATATACCTATATTAATGTACTGTGTATGGGATCTCAAAGGGCATGAGATAATCAGTTTTCTAATTCATTCTTCCATAATTTTCTCAAACAATGTGGGCCCCAGAACTTTCTAACAGAAACATGGAAATCTCAAAAGGAATATTTTTTCTTAAGAAATCTGAAGCTAGTTAAAATTTCATTCCTTACTTATTCCCTCCCTATTCCTAATTACACAGAAGTATGTTTCTGGCAGACTTTTGATAACTTGCTATTTCTTTTAACTGTATAAATTTAAGATATACAGTAACATAATGTTTTATTTATCCATAGTGAAATAATTACTGCAGGTAAGCAATTTTACATATCCATCACTTTCTATAGTTACTTCTTATTTTTCGTTTTGTATCAGAGCACATAATCTTCACTCATAGCAAATTTTCAACATACAATACAATATTGCTAATTGTAGTCCTACTTCTGTACATTACATCTTTAGACTTATTCTATGTAACTGCATGTTTGTGCCCTTTGACTTACATCTCCCCATTTTCTCCTTCTCCCTGCCACTGGTAACCAACATTCTGTTCTCTGTATGTATTTGGCTTTTTTCTTTTTTCCTTTTATATATAAATGAGATTATTCAGTATTTTTATTTCTCTCTGGCTTATTTCACTTAACATGTCATTCTCCAGGTTCAACTGTGTTGCTATTTTTTAATCTATTACTAATGATCAGTTTTCTACCCTGTAGTCATTTCTTGCCATATTCACAGTTTTTTCTCAACCAAGTGTAATCTGCACAATTCATTTGATATTTTAATAAACTCAGCAGTTTTACTTAAGCATGTGTACTAAAGAGATTTGAATATATTGGTGTTTTACATGGAAAACTGGTATCACTTGCCATAACGACGAGGTAAAAATAAATCTAAGAAAATAAAAGAATGTTATTAAATTCTAATACGAGTTTATTTTCTCCAAAGCTCTGAACCTAGGGGAAGCTTTTTTCTTTGTTTCAAATGGAAATTAGCAAGTGTTAGAGAGGCATTAAGAGATAACACCAAATGAAGACTTTCTCCTTGATGCAGTCAGCATAACCGAAAAATAATTCAAAGAAAGGAAACTTCTTAAGACTTGAATTAATGTTAAAGAGGTATATTTTCTACTATACTCCTAAATTACTATAATTTAACCCTAATTACCTCTAGTAATACAAATAATATGTGCACTGCATTTTGATGAACATTATTATTAAGCATTTTCATCTTTGTGGTAAATTATAACTTTGGGCCATTCTATTCCTGGCTTCAGCCCTCCCTTCCTCACACCGACTTTTCTTCATAGAAGTGCTTCTTTGGGCAAACACCATCTTGTTGTGAGCAACTGACTTCCTCAGATCTGATACTAGTATATCAGAATCACCTGAGAAACTTTACAAATGTCACCATTGGAACCTCTCCATAAAATGGAAAAATCTCTAGAGTTAGAATCTAAAAATCTTTGTTTTTAAAAGCAGCACATGTCAAGTCATACACTCGTCCAAACTTAGGCAGCCAATCTAAAATCAATAACCTAGAATCTATTGCCCCAGGGTCCATCAAAGACCAAGAAATATTGACCAAGTGGGACCTCTATTGAAAAGGGTTCCAAGAGATCACGAAAATTTGCCGTTAATGAGCCACAAGAGTATTAGAAGCACAAGGGAGGTCTTGGCAGCAGCAATTGATAATTTAAAGAGGGACCAGACTCTTGTTTTGTGCTTTCAAAGTAAAGCAAGATTCTCAGTGAAAGATAGAAAAAGGAAAATTTTAGCAAAATATAAGCAAAACAGAACTTTTATATTATTAGAGTGACTCACTAATGTATGTACTTGTTCCATCATTTCTTGGATTTTTACCATTTCTCAAGGTAGGAATTTAAGTTACAGAGATAAAGCAGACTGTCATAGTTTGGATGTTTGTCCCTTCCAAATCTCTTGTTGAAATGTGATTCCCAGTGTTGGAGATGGGGCAGAGTGGGAGGTGTTTAGGTCATGGGAGGGGATCCCTCATGAATGGCTTGGTGCCTTCCCCATGGTAATCAGTAAGTTCTCACTCTATTAGATCACTCAGAGCTTTTTGTTCAAAAGTGTCTGGTCTCTCTCTTGCTCCCTCTCTCATCATGTCACACACCCGCTCACCCTCCACCTTCCACCATAAGTAAAAGCTTTCTCAGCCTTCACCAGAAGTTAGGCAGATACTGGTACCATGCTTGTATAGCTTGTAGAATCGTGAGCTAAATAAAAGCATTTTCTTTATAAATTATCCAGTCTCAGGTATTCTTTTATAGCAACACAACACACAGACATAGGGCTTCCCTTAAGAAACTTGTAGTCAAGTTGAAATGGAATATATTGAACATTCACAGTAACATAGCAGTGAAGGGATGGCCATATGCTCTGGTGTGGCTGCATCTGTTGCACAGAAGAAAAGTCAGACCTGATGATATCTCAGGCTTCTTATGTCTTTAAAATCCCAAGATATTATCATTGAGTTGGTGCAGAGATGCACTATAAATAAAGGGGTATATATATATATATATATATATATATATATATATATACACACACACGTATATATAAATGCAAATACATGTGTGTATTATAGATGGATATATTATATATCATTTTCAAGTAATATATCCATGTGTATTATAGATAGATATATTATTTAAAAAATGATATAACCATCTATAATACACACATACATATAAGTATCTATGAAAGATATCACATGTACTTTTTACATAGCTTTCAAAAAGCCCCCATCTAGATTTCCTTTTAAAGTAAAGAGAAGAATGCATTTGGACTTGAAAAGGCAGTGCATTTTTTTTCTCATTCTGCTGCTATTATAACTCTTGGCTACTTTATTTCTAGGAAAAGAGAATAACTAACATTTCTTTGGCTCTGGCAATTCTATCTTATTGTTTGCATTCAATAGACTAATTTCCAGTTAGTGTGGTAGGTATCAGTTGCAATTTCAGGTCCTTGTCTCTACCATTCACATTATGTTGGGTACAGTATGAGGCAAAAGCGTGAAGAAGGTAAAAATTGTGGGGGTAAACATTGTGACAAAGCTAAAAGACTTTTAGTGCTCCCCTTCCCTCTTTTCTTCCTTGGTCCCTACAGTCCTATTTCTGCGCAATCAAAGCCTTCCTCTGAGCCCCTTGGAACAGTTCCAAAGGACTGTGGTGCCTGTTGGAAAACCTGGATAGTCCCTTTTTCCATGCATATTTATTAACTGTGTGCCCAGCTATGTGTTAACCAGAGAACCCAAAGAATGGGAGCCTCTTGCCCTTCAAAATATGACCTTACTCAGTAATGTAGTGGGGAAAAATGCTTGCAAAATGTTAGGGTAAGTGCCTTAGGATGTCAAAGGAGGGATATTATCTCTAACTGTTGGGGGTATTTTATTTGGACCTTGAAATATTGCTTTGGAAAAGTGATACCAGATGAGAGAACAAGTCAAAGCAAGCTATGATGACAGCCACAGGTGATATACATATATGGATTGTGGTTAATGGGCCACATGATCTGGAATATACAGTCAGAAAAAGGAAATTGTGTGCACATGTGGATGAGTAGACAAAATAATTCCAAGATTATCTTTTCCCTTAACATAAAACACTTATAAACAAACCTTTTGTTAATGAGATGAGCATGTCAGGAACCAGAAGTTTCCTTTTGTGTTAAATACTGAATATCAATTGTCTGACTATAAAAGTAATATATTGTCAATATTTTTTTTTGTATGTGTTTCTTGGTCTAGGTTTAGAGTGCCTTGGCCAGAGGCTTCCTCTTCTTTAAAGTGAGAAGTTCTGTTTGGCATGTTTGTAAGAAAAATGGTAATAACACTATAGTGATAATTAGATTCCCAATACAGAAGGCCTTGAAAGCTAAGTAGCACAGCATTGCTAAGTAGCCCCAGCACGTGAAGAGTTTCTGCATGTTTGCTCTATTGATTTATTTTTTTCATTCATTTTTTAGTCATGATTATATTTTTACTATAATGAGAAAATGTAGCACTATAGAAAATTTGAATATATAGAAAAGCATATAAGAGAGCATTCAAGTCACGCAAAATCCATTATTCAGAGGATAGTTATATATTTTATATACTTGCTTCCAGTTAAGCATGAACATATAATCCCTCCAAACAACATACATGTTGATATTGATAGAGGTAGATTTATACTGCAAGTATATTTTTGTACTTTTTTGAACTGACTTACACCTCATTCTATTAACCAGTCTATCAAAACAGATTTTCCTTTACAACATTAAATTATAAGGTTTACAGGAGTTGTCCTTTGGTTTCTGAGCAATATGTCTTTCCATTGCTGTCTAATGTATTTCTAAGGAGATATAAAAATTAAACAGATTTATTTTATTTTTATTTCATTTTGGTTGCCTGAATAGAAGAGGCCTACTAGTTGAAATTGGCTTAACCATCCCATTATATGGAATGCCTGTGGCATTCCACAGCTGGAAGTAGGTTGTTTTAAATAGCTGTGAGCCCACTTCCCAGTATAGTACCTGCTTTAATCTACTATAGATTGCTAGACTGAAGAGGCACAGTTTTATCCCAAATATCAGGTTTTCAGACCAGCTGCCAGATGGAATACCCGACGACAATCTCCTGCATGCATGCCCACCAGGAGCCGTCCTGCCACCTTCTCTATCTGTAGCCAATTCCTGTAGCTGCTATATCCTAGCCAAATGTTTTCTAGATGTCCTAGTCTGAGAGGAGAAGTAGCAATTGAGATACTGATTGTGGATAAGAAAGAAAGAGCCTTCGGCTTGTCCCAACTGAAAAATCATATGCAGTGGTAGAAGAATGGTTGCAGAGTTGATAGAAAAATCTTTTCTGAACCAAGATAAGAACTATCATTAAAGAGGTAAAGGGACTCTCTAAATACCTGACAGTTGGATTTCTATGATTTGTTGCATAGCAAATATTGGCTGCCAGTTTCCCAATCTGGCTCCAGTTCTTGGAAAGTCCTGATGAGAGGTGAAGCCAGCTGGACTTCCTAGGTTGAGTGGGGACTTGGAGAACTTTTCTGTCTAGCTAGAGGATTGTAAACGCACCAATCAGCACTCTGTAAAAACACACCAGTCAGTGCTCTGTGTCTAGCTAGAGGATTATAAATGCACCAATCAGCCTCTGTAAAATGGACCAATCAGCAGGATGTGGGCAGGGACAAATAAGGGAATAAAAGCTGGCCACTGCAGCCAGTAGCTGGCAATCAGCTCAAGTCCCCTTCCACGCTGTGGAAGTTTTGTTCTTTCACTCTTCACAATAAATCTTACTGCTGCTCACTCTTTGGGTCCGTGCCACCTTTAAGAGGTGTACACTCACCGCAAAGGTCCACGGCTTCATTCTTGAAGTCAGCAAGACCAAGAACCCACCGGAAGGAACCAACTCCAGACACACTGAAATTTTGGGGCAGTACGTGAACCTGATTTTTCTTCTTCTACCTGCACAGTTGGCTAAGCATTTATAATATATACCTATGAATATCTTTAAGACAGCCGACCTTTACACTTTACATATGAATAGCTCAGGGATTAACCTGAAGCTTCCTATTTTTCTGTCTATTCTCTCCTATATTTTAGGAACTGGCTTAATGGCCTCCACCTTTTTTTTTTCCTTTGGTCTCCCAGCCTGTTTAAAGCACTTTGGCATTGATATTTTAGGAGAGAATGTCTTTGGTTTTCTTAACACTAGCTTTATCTCTCGTTGTGGCCAGTTCTATGAGAGTTGAGCTGCATCTATATCTACTCAGTTTCCAAACCCTACCAGAGTTCTTTGGCTGTCTAGGAAAAAAGGTTGAGGATTTCTGTGGGTTTCTAATTATTCCCGTAGGAAATTAGGAGAGTCTAAGCCAGTGATTCTTGGTTACTTAGAAGCCATTCTAAAACTGGAAATAATTCCAGTGGACAATTTCTGAGGAAATAAGTGAATGACTGGTGTTATACTTAAAGATAATAAAAACTAAGCTACAATGGATGAAAAGCTTTAAAGGAGAACTGAATTTGAAAAAAGTCAGTTAAGAAAATTACTGCAAAACTTCAAGCCAGGGGTAATGAAGGCCTGAAATAGAGTCTTATTTGTGACAACAGAAAAACTCACTATTTGTCTCTTGACTCAAAGCCCAGCAAATAAGTTGGAAGACATTGCATACTATTTAGACAATTGAATAATAAAATGGTGAGCAATTTAGTTAAATGAAGTAGTTTTGCTTTCTTTATTACTTTTTGGGGGGAGAAATGAAGAGTGAGAATAATACTGCCTTCATAAAAAATTGTGATTATTAAATCAAGTGATATATTGAAATGAACCTGGCACACAGTAGAGATGAGATAAATTTTAGAGCTCTTTCATGTCATTTTTAGAACTATTTATTTAAACTCAACTGGTTGTACTTGGCTGTTTTTTGTGTTGATCCACTGAATTACAACAAATCTTTCTGTTGTCTTAATTTTATTAAGCCGAATAAATAGTGTTACTGTCTTGCTTTGTTACCTTCAACCTGCATCACAAATAAATGATGAACATCGCTATCTCTGGGACCCGTGGGTATTATCTCTGTTTTTCAGAATGGCACGTATTTCCCATGTATGTTTACAGGCTGATATGTCTCACGAAGATAACTCAATGTGAGCTGCAGAATTCGTATCATAGTATCACTGAGGCTTCCTATCATTTGCCGTGGCTGAAACAACCTGACATGAAATATAACACTATAACATGTCAGGTGGAAAATTTAAACATTGCTTTTTCCCAGGGAAGAATAGAATCTTTATATTTAAACCACACTATTTCAACGGGGGGCGGGGGGGGGGAAGTTATGATACGGTATTGATTCTTCTAGGGAGCTGAATTTGCAAAAAAATCCCTTTCTACTTAAGAATTGTTCGTTACCCGTCCCCCGCCCCCGCTTTTTCTTTCTTTTTTTTTTTTGACACAAGTACAATTCTAAACAAGCTGTTTCATGGCTAACTAAAATCCTTTAAAACTACTGACAACATATCTTAGAAAAGCATTCCAATAAGTACCAAACCAATAAAACCATGTGTACAAATGTCTTGCTAATTTCTGCTTTCATATTTTCCTGACAAAGCTAATGTTTTCAAGAGGATAGCATCACTTACAATTTCTAAGTCTTCCTCCTTCTAATTTGAACTAGAGAAAAGCCCAGTTATGATTAAACTAAAGGGTTAAAAAGCAAATAACTAATTATACAAGAAAGTTGAGTTGTACACGGAGTGTCAATTTCTCTGAAGTGATGAGTCTCAAGTAATTAGTATAATTTAAAGAATCTAAAGAGAAAGAAACTCTAGCCAAAACTATCATCTTTCCTCTTTGTTTATCTTTCTTTCTTTGTTTTTTGTCAGTATTATTATTTTTTTCGCCCTCTCTCTGACTCCTTAACTATCTTACCTATTAAACATTCTCCTTGGCTTAATTAGAAGACAGGTTCTGTCCCATTTAGTAAAAAGAGTTTATAAATTTACACTTGACCTTTCTTTCTGAGAGGTGACTGTCTAATTGACCAGCGGTCAATCTCTGTTTCTATTGACAATGTTTTTCTGATCCAAAGAGTCATTAAGGGTGAATCAAGAAGCAAGTAATTATAACATGATGATAAAGATAATGATGACAATAAAGATGAAGATACAAAGAGTTTATATGAGTATTTAGTATGCACAGGAAACAGTGTTAAATATTTCCCAAGGGGTGTAAAAAACACAACAGTTCTGTGGTAGGTACACTTAGTGTTCCTATTTTCTCATGACAGGTTTGAGGTTAATACAAATCAAATGATTCTGCTGAATTACTCTGTTAGTAACAGAACCAAAATACAGACCTTAACTAGTCTGAATTGAAATTCCGTGTGCCTACTCCACATTCTGTACTGGCTTGAAAGTGGATTTATGTCATCACATAAGACTTGGAGTACTGGCCAAATTTTGTTTTTGTGGGGACAGATCCAAGGGGCCTCCACAGGTAGTGCAGTTTCCTGGTGGTTCTGCTTTTATAAAGGCATATCTGGAATTACAAGTTTATTCTTGTTCTTTGGATTATTGGGTGTTTGGATTGTTGGATTCTTGGACTCCACAGATAGAAGTTGATAGAATAAAATGCTTGTAATTAATTGGCATAGATGGACTAAAGGGCAAACTACAGTACTTTGAAAGATTACAGGGGCTGCACCCTGGGCCTGCGCCTGGGCCGCGGGCGGGGGGCGACGGACCGCGGGGCGCTCATCTGGCTCTGCTACGACGCGCTGGTGCACTTCGCGCTGGAGAGAGTGGGCAAGACCACGAACCAGGAGAGTGCTGGGGTCCTGGGATCCACAGAATGAAATTTCAAGAACACTGATAAATTGCTGTAGCACCATTAAAAAAAAAGAAAGAAAATAAAAAGAAGGCCCTTTTGTCTACTTGTCTTTAGTAGGAAACGTTGCAAATTCCGATGGCTTGATTGCTTCTTTATGGAAAGAATATGGCAAAGCTGATGCAAGATGGGTTTATTTTGATCCAACCATTGTGTCTGTGGAAATTCTGGCCGTCGCCCTAGATGTGTCTCTGGCATTGTTCCTCATTTATGCCATAGTCAAGGAAAAATATTACCGGCATTTCCTGCAGATCACCCTGTGCGTGTGCGAGATGTATGGCTGCTGGATGACCTTCCTCCCAGAGTGGCTCACCAGAAGCCCCAACCTCAACACCAGCAACTGGCTGGCTGTACTGTTGGCTTTACCTGTTTTTTTTTTAACGGTGTGTGGGTTCTGATCCCAGGACTGCTACTGTGGCAGTCATGGGTAGAACTCAAGAAAATGCATCCGAAAGAAACCAGTTCAGTGAAAAAGTTTCAGTGAACTGTCAAAACCATAAACACCATTATCTAACTTCATGAGCCAGAATGAATCAAATCTTTTTGTTTGGCCAAAATGTAATACATTCCAGTCTACACTTTGTTTTTGTATTGTTGCTCCTGAACAACCTGTTTCAAATTGGTTTTAAGGCGACCAGTTTTCGTTGTGTTGTTGTTCAGTTAAATGGTGATATAGGGAAAAGAGAACAAATTTAAATTTGTAATAATAAAATGTTTAATTATAAAAAAAGATTACAATGGCATCACTGCAGAATAAACAAGGATATAACTTTTCAAGTGGACATTTGTGATTTTAGAACACAATCCAAACTGTACTTTTTTTTTTTTTTTTTTGAGACAAGAGCCTCACTCTGTCACTCAGGCTGGAGCGCAGTGAGGTGATCTTGGCTCACTACAAGCTCCGCCTCCCGGGTTCACGCCATTCTCCTGCTTCAGCCTCCCGCGTAGCTGGGACTACAGGCGCCCGCCACCAAGCTCGGCTAATTTTTTGTATTTTTAGTACAGACAGGGTTTCACCGTGTTAGCCAGGATGGTCTCGATCTCCTGACCTCGTGATCTGCCTGCCTCGGCCTCCCAAAGTGCTGGGATTACAGGCGTGAGCCACCGCTTCCGGCCTTCAAATATTACTCTTTATATTACTTTGACCAATTCAATTCTGCCTCAGTTTCCTTATCACACGCTGATATTTGTTCTGTTTTTTTCTCATGGAGTTGTGAGGCTTAAATAATAGATTGTATATAAAATGCGCAGGTCAATCGCTATGAAAAAGAAACATTCCAAAAACGCTTCTTATCGATTTTCCTTTATCTGTAGAGTATTGGTATTTTTTTTTAGTCACTCTGGGGAAAATGATCTACATTAGACCATCAACAACAAAAAGAGTTACAACAGACACTCTTGTTGTTTATAAAATCCTTCTAGATTTAGCAACATTTCCTTTCTAAATTTAAAAATAGTAAAGACTTATCCAAAGTGGTAAAGATTAATATTCTTCCCTTTATCTCACAAGACCTTGGAACAAGATTACATTTGAGGAGACTTCTTGAGACTCTACCTTGCTCTTAAGACTGAAAAGCTAT